>NC_000012.12:39732855-39884370 GCF_000001405.40 Homo sapiens
TCCTTGCTGTCTGGCATGACAAGGTGTCTGGCATGACAAGGCCTTGTAAGGCTTATTGTGTGTATTTTCTGCCCCAGAACAAAAACAGACCATTTCTCCAAGAAGTCTTCATTTTTTTAAATTGGAGGTGATACTTCAAGTCCACAATTTTGGGGGCTAGATTGGCCATTGGGTCATTATTTATGTCTTTACAGTAGGCAGAGGCAGAAAAATGCACACACACACACACACACACACACACTTATTTAAAGATAAAACAGTTTGTGATTTCATTTGATGTTCTAAATTCAAAACAAATTAAAGAAAAATTTAAACACATTTTTATTTTAGGATAATTTTAGATTTATAAAAAAGTTGCCAATGTACTCTGCATGCTTATGGAATAAAATGTTGAAATGTTTGATAATAATCAGGTTTTCTTTTCCTTATAAGTCATTTGCTCTTTTGCCTAGATGCCAAAGCATTGTTTTCCTTTTGTAAAAATTAGAGTCCAGTCATTTTACTACGATATTCTGTTCCTTTGCTTTAGTTTTTATCTTTAGGCACTTCTATTATCAATTTGTTGGATCTTCTTTGATATCTTCAACGTTTGTTTTTTTCCTGTCAAATTCTTTGTCTTTTTTAATTTTTTTATTTTATTTTATTTTATTTTGTTTGTTTGTTTTGTTATTATTATCATACTTTAAGTTTTAGGGTACATGTGCACAATGTGCAGGCTGCTGCCTTTCTTTCAGAGATGCCCTGCCCAGAGAGGAGGAATTTAGAGAGGCAGTCTGGCTACAGAAGCTTTGCTGAGCTGCAGTGGGCTCTGCCCAGTTCAAACTTTCCTGTGGCTTTGTTTACACTGTGAGGGGAAAATTACCTACTCAGTCCTAGTAATGGAGGACGCCTCTGCCACCACCAAGCTGGAGCATCCCAGGTTGACTTCAGACTGCTGTGCTGACAGCAAGAATTTCAAGCCAGCGGATCTTATCTTGAAGGGCTCTGTGGGGGTGGGATCTGCTGAACTAGGCTACTTAGCTCCCTGGCTTCAGCCCCCTTTCCAGGGGAATGAACAGTTCTGTCTTGCTGGCATTCCAGGCGCTACTGGGGTATGAAAAAAAAACTCCTGCAGCTAGTTTGGTGTCTGCCCAAATAGGGTGCCACCCAGTTTTGTGCTTGAAACCCAGGGCCCTGGTGGTGTAGGCACCTGAGGGAATCTCCTGGTTTGCGGGTTGTGAAGACTGTGGGAGAAGTGTTGTATCTGGGCTGGAATGCACAGTTCCTCACTGCACAGTCCCTCACAGCTTCCCTTGACTAGGGGAGGGAGTTCCCAGACCCTTTGCGCTTCCTGGGTGAGGCGACGCCCCACCCTGCTTCTGCTCGCCCTCCATGGGCTGCATGCACTGTCTAACCAGTCCCAGTAGGATGAGCTGGGTACCTCAGATGGAAATGCAGAAATCACCCACCTTCTGCATTGATCTCACTGGGAGTTGCAGTCCGGAGCTGTTCCTATTCAGCCATCTTGCCCAGGAATCATCTTAATTTTCTTAATGGTGTCTTTTGAAGGGCAAAAGTTTTAAATTTTGATAAAATCAAATTTGTCTTTTAAAAAATATTGATTGTAGTCACAAAAATTTTCTCCTGCTTTTTCTTCCTGAAGTTTTTTATTTTTAGTTCTTATATTTGGGTCTGTGATTCATTTTCAGAAAATTTTTGTAATGTATATAATATAGGGTTATTAGGATTTTTTATGTTTGTTTTTGCACATAGATATCCAGTTGCTCCAGCACTATTTGTTGAAAAGACTACTCTTTCTTAATTAACTTTGCACTTTTATCAAAAATCAATTGACCATACATGTGAGTTTGAACTCTATTCTGTTTCATTGATCTATATATCTCTTCTTATGCCAATATCATACTATCTTGATTGTAGTGTTACTTCCTGTTCTTTTTCAAAATTGCTTTGGCTAGACTTGGTTGCTTGCATTTCCATAGGGATTTTGGCTACAGCTTGTCAATTTCTACTAAAAAATTCCTGGTTAGATTTTGGTAAGGATTGTGTTGACTCGCTATCTCAATTTGGAGAAGAACTGATATCTTAATAATGTTTAGTTTTATAATCAATGAATATGCTGTATCTCTTTATTTATTCAGGTTTTCTCTAATTTATTGCAGCAATCTTTTGCCTAGAGTGCGCTTCTTGAGAAACATGAAAGTTATTTTAAGCCACTAAATTTTGAGAAGTTGTTTAACCCATAGTAGATAGTTGTTACACATTTTGGTACCTGGGAGTGATGTGCTACCATATCAAAACCCTAAAACATGTGGCTTTAGGACTAGGTGGTGGTCTGAAGCTGGAAGAACCTTAACAACATTGTTAGTGAAGGTCTAAGGGCCTTGAAGAGATTCTTAGTGTAACTATATGCCCCTAGAGGTGGCTCATAGTGAGGGCTGAAAGGAAATTAAAGATAATGTTATTGAAAGTTGGGAAGAATGGGGATATTTATTAGGTAGTGACAGAAAGTTAAGCAACACTATCATATGAAGTAACGTAGAAAATAGAAATAGAAAATAGGAATAGAAAATGATGTAGATTTCCAAGGAGAATGTTGATGATGACACCTGGTTTCTAGCTGCCTGTTATAAAATGGCAGATGAGAGTGTTAAGCAACAGAAAGAACTTTAATATATAAAGAAGCCAGAACTTACTGGGATCAAAAATACAACTTTCTCATTGTAGTTTCTTCAGATGGCAAATGATGCTAAAATTAAGAAAAGGCTTTTGGACGAAGGCCAAATTTAGGGCACTGTCAGGAAAATAAGTAATAAAGATTATTTCAAGGGTGTTATTGTACAACCCTTTGCAAAGATTTGAGGTAGTATTTCATACAGGTAACTATCCCTAAGGATCTTGAGGCACATGCATTGCAGATTGTCTCTTCTAAACAATAGGGCTTTTAAGAATGTCAACATGCTTTCCTATAGCAACCTTACAGGAAACTAAAGGTAGAGAAATGCTTATCTTGATGAATTTTGTGGGTGTAACTTTGGAAGATGGGGTGAACCCCAGTATGATTCATAGGAGACCCACAAAGCTTTAAGAGAAGTATACTTGGAGAAACACTGCCAGCTTGGACTAAAGGGGACAGAGACAGACCATCACAAAAAGAGAGCTTTGGATTTCTGAAGTAATACTGGTAGGAAGCAGGCTGAGAAAACTACTTAGCTGCAAACATCAGCATTTTTTAATGGAAAAGGATGACTTGAGGAGGAACTATGAGCTCAGAGCATAGAGCTAAGACCCATGGAGATGCTATGCTGCATTATCAGACAGCTGACCTGAGTCAAGGAGCCAATAGTGTGTGCATGGCTGGATTACAGAATTTTTATGGACTATTGTATCTTTCTTTTGCCTTTATGGACTATTGCCTTTCTTTTCCTCCCTTTTCAATGGGAAAGTCTGTAGTAATTATCCTATGCCTCTTCCACCATTGTATGTCAGTGTGTGAAGGACATATAACTTGTCTCTTTCATTCACCAGGTCTTTGGATTGAGGATAGCTATATTTTATGAGCTGTATTTGATAAATAGCATCTGAGGAGACTCATCCACACCTGGTTGCCTAAGTAAGTGGAGTATATTTTGCTTGTGAAAGGAATATAAAAATTTGTGACCAAAGGTTATGTTTACAATTTCTTTGGCACTCCTTCCACAGAAGGTGGAGTCTAATTGCCCTTCCCTTATTATGGGTGAGCCTTAATGACTTGCTTCTAACAAAACAGAATGAGACAGAAGTGATGTTGCATGGTTTCCAAGGCTATGTCGTAAAAGGTGATAGAATTTCCAGCTGGCATGCTCACTGTCTTTCAGGACACATGCCGTGGGTATCCTGAGCTGCCATTTAAGAAGTCTAGCTACCCTAAAGCCTCCATGCTGGAGAGACCATGTGGAGGGACCACACAAAGATTGACAGTAAGATGCTTGAGAAGTCCCAGCTTTCCCAGCCCCAGCGTTTTGGGTCTTCTCAGCCCAAGCACTAGATGTGCAGCCCCAGCCCATGGTGAGTAGAAACAAGCTGTTCCTGCTAACCCTGCTCAGATTTCATATTTATGATAAAATATGTTGTTTTGTGCAACTACAAGTTTGAGGTGGTTGGCTACACAGCATTAGATAATTGGAACAGAGGACCTTTAACTGTCTTATTCTCCTTACTGCTGTATTTACTATTGAGAGCCAGAACTGTTCTGCACTACTTTTTGTTTTTTAATATATATGGCTCCAAATAATGCTTTTTTCCACAATTGATACTCAATAACTCCAGTTGGTGATATTAAATGGATTGGAGCACAACCCAGAATACATGCACCTGGCTCTTTTAAAGCAGGTCTATTCTGGCAATATGTTTGGATTGGTTTACATTTCCCCTTGAAAGTTTGTTCTTGTTGCTTTGTTTACGTTAGCTATGTTCTATCCTTTGCTCTAGTTCACAAACTAGTGTCTAGCATTTCTTTCACTTCATCTCCACTTCTACTCCTTAACCTAACTTTTACCTCATGGCCTGATGATAACTAT
Source organism: Homo sapiens (assembly GCF_000001405.40). NCBI lineage: Eukaryota > Metazoa > Chordata > Mammalia > Primates > Hominidae > Homo > Homo sapiens. Next base: position 39,737,412 of record NC_000012.12, read on the forward strand.
AAACTATATTGAACTATATGTAAGTTTTATAAGGTCGAGAGCCACTGTATCTCCCTGGCAACACAGTGCCTAGTACAGAGTAAAACACTCAGTAATCATTTATTGATTTATCATAACTATGTAGGAGACACCAAAGTAACCTTATATGCATAATCTCCTTTAATCTCTACAACACATTATTAGGATTATTATCCCCATTTTGCAGATAAGGAAGTTGAATAAATTAATAAAGTGATTTTCCCAAGTTAGTACAGTCAATAGTGGAGACAGTATTTCAACCAAAAGTCTGTTTGACTTCAAAGCCTATGCTCTAATGACTGATTTTTACCTGGTTTTGCTGTTAACCATAAATTTCTAGTGGTTGAACTAGGTATTATCCATTGACTTTGCCTACACCATGTATTTTATTGGATATTTGGCCATTGCTTCTCCAGAACTTATGCCTTGCTTGTCCCTGATTTGTGTGTAGCTACATTCCATCCTGTGGTTCACATTTGAGTGTCCATAGAAAGAATCTACCAAAATGTGATTAACTATGCACATAAAATTCTGAACTAAGAAGACCTATTTCAGTAACACAGAGAATAACTTGTCTAGATGGAAAAGTTATGAAATCTAACATTCACTGGAGCCATTGAAATGTTTCCATGTTTGAAAAAAATTAAGATTTGTAAGAATGAATGAAAAGACCTATCGGAAGTCTTTTCTAATGTTAGATTTCACACTCATAGAATTTGACATTTTAAATATTGCAGATATACCGGTTAAATGCTTTTGCTCTGTTAAGTTGAAATCACTTGCTCATATGGAGTCTGTTTTCCTGTTGCATGTTGGCATGAGAGTTAACTCTGTTGCCTGCTCTTGGCCATTTGTTCCTCAGCTTTTTGTGTCATTGAACACGTATGTGTGCAATATTTGCCACCCTTCTTTTAAGAATTTTTATTCATATATCATTTACGAATTAGACAAAGTGAATGCATAAAAACTGAGAGAAGTTAACAAGGTAAACCAAGGGAGCTGTATTTGATAAATAGCATCTGAGGAGACTCATCCACACCCGGTTGCCTAAGTAAGTGGAGTATATTTTGTGTATGAAAGGAATATAAAAATTTGTGATCAAAAGTTATGTTTGCAATTTCTTTGACACTCCTTCCACAGAAGGTGGAGTCTAATAGAAGCATTTGAAAAATCAAAGTGCAATGAGTACAAAAATATCTTTTTACTATCATAACCTAATTGTACTGACACCTTATTATGTTTGATAGTCAATTCTCATTTGTCTTTAATAATTGATAATGGGAAACTACTTCATTTTAGATGAGATCAGATTCAATGGTTATTATTTCCTTGGGCTGCTTTTACTTGGAAATAATTTCATCTGACTTTATAGAAAGTGACCTTAGTAATTGTGGGAGCATCCAAAATTTGTTTAATATGTATGAACATAAAATATTTCAGTGTATGTCTTAATCTATGAGTCATTTCTGAATTTTACAACCAGATGTACTGTGTATTTTCAAATGTCATTGCCATATACTAAGTTTGAGAAATGGGAGATGAAAAAATCAAGTGGATATATTTCTGATTCAATATTTTTATAATATGAAATAAAAATATTATTTTATTATAAAATTTTTCCAAGTAATGGGAAACTACTTCATTTTAGATGAGATCAGATTCAATGGTTATTATTTCCTTGGGCTGCTTTTACTTGGAATTAATTTCATCTGACTTTATAGATAAGATCATGGTATTGAATTGAGTTGCAGAGTTGCAATTCTGTTTACAACTACAACTTTTGCTCTTCCTATAAAAATGTGCTTAACAATTACTTATAGAGGACCTACCATATGGAAATAAATGCCTAGAGGCTATGGGAGATACAAATTAGTTGAGACAGCCCCTTTCTCAATGAGTTTTTAATTTAATAGAGGATTCATTCCTTTGTTCATTCAGTCACTTAGTCAGTAAACAATATTGATTGAATACCTATTGAGCGCAGGCATTGAGAAAGCAATGATCACACATTAGAAGAAAAGATAAAACTGATCCCTAGCCTTCAAAACTCATGGTCTAATAGGAGCTCCCAAGTAAAGAAAATACAGCAGAATAGCATGATTGAATGATTGATTAATATTGAGTTAAAATATGTCACTTTTGGCTGGGATGCTCAAGGAAGACTTTCTTGAAGTTATACTTCAAATATTATAAGTCACTATATGAAATAAATGCTCAGAGGCTTCATTTTTGAAATTAATTATAAAAGAGGCACAAAAACCAAATGCAGTACTGTAGATTTCCAAAATGGTCATAATTCTCTACCCCTGTCTATATTCACATCTCGTAAAATATGATGTATTTTCTTCCATCAAGAGGTGCCATCTGTTTCTCTACCTCTGGAATTTGGGAAGGCATTGTGACTTGATTTTGCCCATAAAATGTAGCAGATGTGATGTTGTGCCAATTCTCAGCCTAGGCCTCAAGCTCGCATGCTTCTGCTCTTTCTTAGAATCTTCCTCAGCTTACACGAATAAGCTTGAGCAAGCTTATTCATGATAAGAGACTGTGTAGAAGAGAAATGTGCCATCCCAGCTTAGTCCTTCTTAGATAGCTGCCACACAGCCAACATGGCAGCTGATGTCATGCATTAGTGATATTAGGAGTTACGGCAAGAGCAACCAACATGGGATCATTTGAAATTGTCAAACCACCAAATTGTGAGATAAAGACAGATTTGTTGACTTACATCCCTACATTTTAGATGGTTTATTACACAGCAATAACTAGCTGATATGCCAGTTAATAAAAATCTTCCTAATGCTTTAGAGTTGGGGGGAGTAGCACAGTTAATAGGTGGAACAGCATGTAGGAAAAAATTTTAATTACCAAGCTCTTGAGACCATTTATATGGCATATGTATTTTTTCAGAATTTTTTTTAGCAAGCCAATCTTCTTTCCTATGGTGAATTCTTATGACAAATGTGGAGTTAGCATTTAAATTAGGCATAGGCTATATTTCTTTCCAAAATGTTGTATCAAATTAATAGGAAATAGGCATTTATTTTCATAAAAACCATGTGCTGTAAATTTTTAGTGTTTTTTGTTTTATTTTCTGGGCACCACTTTACAAGGTATAAGTGATACATTAAGGTTTTATTCAGTTGCATCTTGGGATCACTTGCAAGGATAATTTGTGATGAAAAATATAAATGGGTCACAGAGAATCAGTGAGACCCTGTGCTGTGCTATAGTTAAAGAAGGAATATAGTGAGGAAGAAAGAATGGGAGACTTGGAGTCCAAACAACTATATCTGTTCAGAAAATATAATTTCCTTTGTATTTTTAGAAGATTATTTTTAATCTTCATAACTTTTTTCTTGCTTCCCAGAATTAAGAGGTAATGTGAAAACACAGCTGTTTCATGATTATTTTTGTAATAAAAGTAAAACTGATTTTGATTCATTTGTAAAAGGAAACCTGATTTATATTATCTGAATAAACCATATTTTAAAACTTAATGTAATATGCATAATTATTTCATGCTTCTTTACATATTATTATTATTATTTTTTTGAGATGGAGTCCCGCTCTGTCACCCAGGCTGGAGTGCAGTGGTGCAATCTCGGCTCACTGCAACCTCCGCCTCCTGGGTGCAAGCGATTCTCTTGTCTCAGCCTCCCCAGTAGCTGGGATTACTGGGCTTCCTTACATATTCTTAAACATGTCCTTAATTTAGAGAAAGCACAGGTAGAAGAGATAATTTCAGGTTTTCTTAAAATGTCCATATCTCTACCTGAAACAATTTCGTTTGCCTTCAGAATGTTCATTAAATTTACATCTGTATTATTATGTTATTCAAACTGGACATGGGTCAGTTCCTCTCCTTTAAAAAAAAATAACTTACATAGAGCCTACCTTAATCCTGGGGATGGACAAGAATATCGATAGACTTCAACCAACCTGAGCATCATCTTGTTGGAAAATATGATAAGAATGTTATGTCTCCATTTCCCTGAGGAGGGTCAGTATTACTGAGGATTGAAGAATTTTGTCATGCAGTTCATTTCACAAGGCTTCAGATATGAAGAAGGGTAGAGAGATGTTAACGGACAAATCAAACTTGCAAAATATTTTAAAGAGGCTTATTTTGAGTCAATATGAGTGACTGTGGCCTGGGAAAAATAAAAACCCAGGAAGTCTTGAGTACGTGGTCCCACAGTTTGGTTTTACACATTTTAGGGAGGCAGGAGTTACAGGTAAAGACATAAATCAATACATGGAAGGTCTGCATTGGTTTGGCCTTAAAAAGTGAGATATCTTTAAGTGGGGGCTTATAGGTTATAGGCAGGTTTCCAGATTCTTTAATTTGTAATTGGTTAAAGGAGTAAGGCTCTGTCTAAAACTTGAGGTCAGCGGAAAGAAATTTTTACAATAAGGATGCTTTGCCAGAGTCAGCCACAACATACTGGGTCAAAATGACCTGTTTAGCTAGACTGATGGCCTGCAGATGTGACTTAACCCTTGCCTTGCATGGCTTAGGTCTTGTTTGTAATTTGGCATCTTATTGCCACAAACAGTCTGTTGTGGCAGTCTATGATCTCTATTTTAACATTAATCCTGGTCAGTTGTGACTAAATTCCAAAATGGTGGGGGGTATAATGAGGCATGTCCAACATCCCTTACCGTCATGGCTGACAACTCAGTTTTTAAGGTTTCTCTGGGGTTCACTTGGTTAAGAGGGGGTCCACTCGGTCAGTGGGGGGATTAGGATTGTATTTCTAGTTTACAGGTAGCAGTCAGTACAGTGACTATGAACGTCTTCTGATTTGTGCTAAGCAGGATGGCTTTTTAAAAGAGGCCACTCTGTCAGGTTCCTTTCCACAGTTAAATATCCTTTTTTTCAAGGGAGGAAGAGGTCACGTAATTGCCAGGTATACATTTGTTATATTTATTAAGTGTTGATAAATGAACTCTAACATCTAACAATTTGAAGGCTGCGCTCTTGGCACCTTCACATTAGTTAAGATTTCTGATTAAACTTCAGAAATAAAGTTTTTTTGTTTTTAAAAATACAGCTGTCTTGGTGACCCCTTATCTTGACCAGGTGTCAAGGTGAGCTGTCTTGGAGCTCTCGGGTAGAGGGCTTCCCTGCCCGTGAAGTCCTCAGAAAAGCCTTCAGTGTCTTCTAGTCATTTGCCCAGTAGTTTCTCCTGGTAGAAAAGGGCTTCTTAAATCACGTAAAAAAGTGTTGTGTTTACCTCAGCTGGAATTTTTCATGTTGTATTTTATAGACTTGTAGAAGCTTATTCAGTTTCTGGTCTAGCAGGTGAGGAGCTTGGAAGTCACTCTGTCCTCACAAACTGAAAATCAGTAACTCTTCTATGCGAAAAGCAAGGTGACAGGAAAATTGCTGTCCCCCAAATTGGAGAAACAGACAGATGGATAGAGAGAATTACTATTTACCAGAGCAGAAACCCATAAGCAGAAACCTCCGTGGGAAACAGTGCCTGGATAGGAAAACCTAAACTGTAATAGGCAAATTGCTGGAAGTTCAGTATGAATAAGTCTGAGCTAAAAACTCCATGGACCCCCCACCTTCACGGACACACTTTCACACGTTCTATAAACCAGGTTTATAGAGTGACGATGGGAGAAAAATCCCCTGTGCCTCTGGTAGCGGGGAAGAGACAATTAACCATTTTGAAATATGCCAGAGCATTCTGTTCCTTTTAACAAGGCCTGTCCTCAAGAGAAATTGTTTTATCACAGCCTAACTTACTAGGGTTTAATCAGAGCCTAACTGACTTGGGGGAAGGGAATACCCAACGCCAGCCTACTGTAGCTGTCCTTTCCCACCTAGAGGGAGAAAAAACTGAGAAGCACTTGTGAAGTTCACAGGCCAGGGGCACCAGCTCACTAAAAGACTGAAACCTAATTATGGAACCATAGAATGCTTCCCCTCCCCTCATACCTTACCACCATGTCACCAAAAGTTTACTTATCAGAGTTCCTTTAGCCCAGTACAGTATGTCTAGCTTTCAACAAAAAATTACAAGGTATACTAAAAGGCAAAAAACACAATTTGAAAAGACAAAGCAGTCACGTACCAGACTCAGATATAGCAGGGATGTTGGAATTATCAGACTGGGAATTTGAAACACTAGAAAGGCTGTAATTGAAAAAGTAGACAACATAAAAGAACAGATGGGTGAGGTAAGCAGAGAGATGAAAATGTAAAGAATCAGAAGGGCTGGAGACAACACTAACAGAAATGAAGAATGCCTTTGACAATGGGCTCATTAATAGACTGGACGCAGCTCAGGAAAGAATCTTGGAGCTGGAGGGTATGTCAATAGAAACTTCCAAAACTAAAAAAGCAAAAAGATCAAAACAATAAAAAATAAAAAGGAACATAATCTCTAAGAACTGTGGGGCAACTACAAAAGGTATAACATACACATAATGGGAGCACCAGAAGAGAATAAAGACAGAAAGGAACAGAAGAAATAGCTGAAGCAATAATGGCTCAGAATTTCCCTAAATTAATATCAAACAAAACCCCACAGATATAGGAAGCTGGATAAATGCCAAAACAACAACAACAATAAACCCCTCAAAATGGATACCTAGGCATATCATAGTCAAAATACAGAAAAATCACACATAAAAAATATAGAAAGATCCAAAGCAAAAAAAAAGCAGTTATAAAGGAATAAAGAATTATGTTTGACTTCCCCTCAGAAACCATGCAAGCATGAAAAGAGTGGGGTGAAATACTTAAATAAAATCCAACAATCTAAAATTCTGTATCCTGAGAAATTATCCTTCAAAAGTAAAGGTGAAATAAAGGACTTTTTCAGACAAAAATTGAGGGAGTTTGTTGTCAGTACACCTGACTTGCAAAAATTGTTAAGTTCTTCCTAGAGAATGCAGTTGATATGGGTCAGAAATTCAGATCTGCACAAAAAATGGAAAATCATTAGAAATGGAATAAGCGAAGATAAGTTAAAATTATTTTTCTTATTCTTAATTGATCTAACAAATAACAGTTATAATAATAGCCACCATGTATCCAATTATTATAGCTTATGTATAAGTGCAATGAATGACAGCAGTGATATAAGGGATGGAAGGGAGGAATTAGGAATAGCGTAAGGCACTTGCAGTACCCACAAAGGGCTATAGTGTTTTCTGAAAGTGGAATTGGATTAGTAGTACATTGCAAACTCCAGGGCAACCACTAAAAACAGTGAATAAAGAAATATAACTGAAATAAATAAATAGTGTAAATAAATAAATATAACACTAGGAGAGAAAATGGAATAACATAAAATGCTCAGTTAAAACCAAAAATGGCAGAAAAAAGGTGGAAGACAATAATTGGAACAAAGTACAAGGGAAACAAATAGAAAACAGTAATAGACATGGTAGACAGACATCACTTCAAAAGTTAATGGTCTAAACACAGCAAGTAAAAGACACTGTCAGAGTGGATCAAAAAACAAGACTCCACTATATGTTGTTTTCAAGAAGCTCACTTTCAATATAACGATACATATATTAAAAGTAAGAAGATGGTTAGCATATACCATGCTAACACTAATCAAAACTAAGCTGAACTAGCTATATTAATTTCAGACAGAGTAGACTTCAGAGCAAGGAAGTTTATTAGGACTCTGGGTTAATTCATAATTGTAAATGTCCCAAAAACATTTCAAAACATTCTAAAAACAAAGTCCTAACTAAATCCTGATTCTTTCACATTTGCCTCCAAATTATACTCTCAGTTTTTATCCAGTTGTCAGTATGTCAGTGATTAGGCTTAGTTCCTAAATCCATAACCAGTGACCCTGCAGGAAGAAAACAGTAACACAATTTTCAGGTCAAGACAGTTACTAAAATTTTCCATTATAAAGCACATTGTAAAAAATAAACAATAAAGGGTACTGGTTAAAAATGACTTTGGCACCAACTAAGCTTGGTCTTAATTCAGATTTATAAAGCTGAGCTACTTAATGTAAGTGACTCTGCTTCCTCTGACTCAATTATTTTGTATTTCATAAAATAGGGGTAATAATAGTGTTTTGGATATAGGATTTTTGTGAGGATAGAATGAAATCATGTACATTAAGTATCTAGCACATAACGAGTGTGTTATTTTATAAAGAAAATGTATAAATGGAATAATTATAAAATGCAAATTTCACCCAACTTGGTTATAATATTTAATGATTTTTTATTATTAGATTTTCCCACTTAACAGGAATAAGAAACTATCTAAATGTATCATCCAAATGTGTTTATGTGAATACACATGCATTCATATCCTGTACAGATTTGCTGTTTGATTAAAGCAGCTATGCTATGCAGAGGTTCACTATAAAGCTTTTTTGCTGTTGTTAATGTAAGCATGGTGCCATGTTGCTGTTTTAATCTTTTATTTTCCAGCCTGGGAAAAACTTCCGCTATTCCTTTGCTGACTGCAGGAATGCTTGAGATGCATGGACCTATTCATTTTTAAAAATTTATTGAGCACAGGGTCCGGTTCCAAGATGGTTGAATAGGAACAGCTCCAGTCTACAGCTCCCAGCATGAGCGACGCAGAAGATGGGTGATTTCTGCATTTCCAACTGAGGTACTGGGTTCATTTCACTGGGGCTCATCGGACAGTGGGGGGCAGGACAGTGGGTGCAGCCCACCGAGCGTGAGCAGAAGCAGGGTGAGGCACTGCCTCACCTGGGAAGCGCAAGGGGTCAGGGAATTCCCTTTCCTAGCCAAGGGAAGGGGTGACAGACGGCACCTGGAAAATCAGGTCACTCCCACCCTAATACTGCACTTTTCCCATGGTCTTAGCAAATGGCACACCAGGAGATTATGTCCCATGCCTGGCTTGGAGGATCCCACGGCCATGGAACCTCACTCATTGCTCACTGAGATCAAACTGCAAGGCAGCAGTGAGGCTGGGGGAGGGGTGCCCACCATTGCTGAGGCTTGAGTAGGTAAACAAAACTGCCGGGAAGCTCGAACTGGGTGGAGCCCACCTCAGCTCACTGAGGCCTGCCTGCCTCTGTAGACTCCACCTCTGGGGGCAGGACATAGCCGAACAGAAGGCAGCAGAAACCTCTGCAGACTTAAATGTCCCTGTCTGACAGCTTTGAAGAGAGTAGTGGTTTTCCCAGCAGAGAGTTTGAGATCTGAGAACGGACAGACTGCCTCCTCAGGTGGGTCCCTGACCTCTGAGTAGCCTAACTGGGAGGGACCCCCAAGTAGGGGCAGACTGACACCTCACACGGCTGGGTGCCCCCCTGAGACGAAGCTTCCAGAGGAATGATCAGGCAGCAGCATTTGCTGTTCAGCAATATTCGCTGTTATGCAGCCTCCGCTGCTGATACCTAGGCAAACAGCATCTGGAGTGGACCTCCAGCAAACTCCAACAGACCTGCAGCTGAGGGTCCTGACTGTTAGAAGGAAAACTAAGAAACAGAAAGGACATCCACACCAAAAACTTATCTGTACATCACCATTATCAAAGACCAAAGGTAGATAAAACCACAAAGATGGGGAAAAAACAAAGCAGAAAAGCTGAAAATTCTAAAAATCAGAGCACCTCTCCCCCTCCAAAGGAATGCAGCTCCTCACCAGCAATGGAACAAAGCTGGACAGAGAATGACTTTGACAAGTTGAGAGAAGAAGGCTTCAGATGATCAGACTTCTCTGAGCTAAAGGAGGAAGTTCAAACCCATCACAAATAAGCTAAAAATCTTGAAAAAAGATTAGATGAATAGCTAACTAGAATAACCAGTGTAGAGAAGTCCTTAAATGACCTGATGGAGCTGAAAACCATGGCATGAGAACTACATGACGAATGCACAAGCTTCAGTAGCCAATTTGATCAACTGGAAGAAAGGGTATCAGTGATTGAAGATCAAATGAATGAAATGAAGTGAGAAGAGAAGTTTAGAGAAAAAAGAGTAAAAAGAAATGAACAAAGCCTCCAATAAATACGGGACTATGTGAAAAGACCAAAGCTATGTCTGATTGGTGTACCTGAAAGTGATGGGGAGAATGGAACCAAGTTGGAAAACACTCTGCAGGATATTATCCAGAAGAACTTCCTCAACCTAGCAAGGCAGGCCAACATTCAAATTCAGGAAATACAGAGAACGCCACAAAGATAACTCCTCGAGAAGAGCAACTCCAAGACACATAATTGTCAGATTCACCAAAGCTGAAATGAAGGAAAAAATGTTAAGGGCAGCCAGAGAGAAAGGTTGGGTTACCCACAAAGGGAAGCCCATCAGACTAACAGCTGATCTTTCAGCAGAAACTCTACAAGCCAGAAGAGAGTGGGGGCCAATATTCAACATTCTTAAAGAAAAGAATTTTCAACCCAGAATTTCATATCCAGCCAAACTAAGCTTCATAAGTGAAGGAGAAATCAAATCCTTTACAGACAAGCAAATGCTGAGAGATTTTGTCACCACCAGGCCTGCCCTAAAAGAGCTCCTGAAGGAAGCAATAAACATGGAAAGGAACAACCGGTACCAGCCACTGCAAAATCTTGCCAAATTGTAAAGACCATTGAGGCTAGGAAGAAACTGCATCAACTAACGAGCAAAATAACCAGCTAACATCATAATGACAGGATCAAATTCACACATAACAATATTAACCTTAAATGTAAATGGGCTAAATGCTCCAATTAAAAGACACTGGCACATTGGATAAAGAGTCAAGACCCATCAGTGTGCTGTATTCAGGAGACCCATCTCACATTCAGAGACACACATAGGCTCAAAATAAAGGGATGGAGGAAGATCTACCAAGCAAATGGAAAATAAAAAAAGGCAGGGGTTGCAATCCTAGTCTCTGATAAAACACACTTTAAACCAACAAAGATCAAAAGAGACAAAGCCATTACATAATGGTAAAGGGATCAATTCAACAAGAAGAGCTAACTATCTTAAATATATATGCACCCAATACAGGAGCACCCAGATTCATAAAGCAAGTTCTTAGAGACCTAGAAAGAGACTTAGACTCCCACATAATAATAATGGGAGAGTTTAACACCCCACTGTCAACATTAGACAGATCAATGAGACAGAAAGTTAACAAGATATCCAGGAATTGAACTCAGCTCTGCACCAAGCAGACCTAATAGACATCTACAGAACTCTCCACCCCAAATCAACACAATATACATTCTTCTCAGCACCACACTGCACTTATTCCAAAATTGACCACATAGTTGGAAGTAAAGCACTCCTCAGCAAATGTAAAAGAACAGAAACTATAACAAATGGTCTCTCAGACCACAGTGCAGCCAAACTAGAACTGAAGATTAAGAAACTCACTCAAAACCACTCAACTACATGGAAACTGAACACCCTGCTCCTGAATGACTACTGGGTACATAATGAAATGAAGGCAGAAATAAAGATGTTCTTTGAAACCAATTGGAACAAAGACACAACATACCAGAATCTCTGGGACACATTTAAAGCAGTGTGTAGAGGGAAATTTATAGCACTAAATACCCACAAGAGAAAGCAGGAAAGATCTAAAATTGACACCCTAACATCACAATTAGAAGAACTAGAGAAGCAAGAGCAAACACATTCAAAAGCTAGCAGAAGGCAAGAAATAACTAAGATCAGAGAAGAACTGAAGGAGATAGAGACACAAAAAACCCTTCAAAAAATCAATGAATCCAGGAACTGGTTTTTTGAAAAGATCAAAAAAATTGATAGACCACTAGCAAGACTAATAAAGAAGAAAAGAGAGAAGAATCAAATAGACACAACAAAAAATGATAAAGGGGATATCACCACCGATCCCACAGAAATACAAACTACCATCAGAGAATACTATAAACACCTCTACACAAATAAACTAGAAAATCTAGAAGAAATGGATAAATTCCTCGACACATACACCCTCCCAAGACTAAACCAAGAAGAAGTTGAATCTCTAAATAGACCAGTAACAGGCTCTGAAATTGAGGCAATAATTAATAGCCTACCAACCAAAAAAATTCCAGGACCAGATGGATTCACAGTCGAATTCTACCAGAGGTACAAGGAGGAGCTGGTACCATTCCTTCTGAAACTATTCCAATCAATAGAAAAAGAGGGAATCCTCCCTAACTCATTTTATGAGGCCAGCATCATCCTGATACCAAAGCCTGGCAGAGACACAACATAAGAGAATTTTAGACCAATATCCCTGATGAACATAGATGCAAAAATCCTCAATAAAATACTGGCAAACCAAATCCAGCAGCACATCAAAAAGCTTATCCACCATGATCAAGTGGGCTTCATCCCTGGGATGCAAGGCTGGTTCAACATACGGAAATCAATAAAAGTAATCCAGCATATAAACAGAACCAAAGACAAAAACCACATGATTATCTCAATAGATGCAGAAAAGGCCTTTGAGAAAATTCAACAATCCTGCATGCTAAAAACTCTCAATAAATTAGGTATTGATGGGACGTATCTCAAAATCATGAGAGCTATTTATGACAGACCCACAGCCAATATCATACTGAATGGGCAAAAACTGGAAGCATTCCCTTTGAAACCTGGCACAAGACAGGGATGCCCTCTCTCACCACTCCCATTCAAGATAGTGTTGGAAGTTCCGGCCAGGGCAATCAGGCAGGAGAAAGAAATAAAGTGTATTCAATTAGGAAAAGAGGAAGTCAAATTGTCCCTGTTTGCAGATGACATGATTGTGTATTTAGAAAAACCCATTGTCTCAGCCCAAAATCTCCTTAAGCTGATAAGCAACTTCAGCAAAGTCTCAGGATACAAAATCAGTGTGCAGAAATCACAAGGATTCTTATACACCAATAACAGACAGAGAGCCAAATCATGAGTGAACTCCCATTCACAATTGCTACAAAGAGAATAAAATACCTAGGAATCCAACTTACAAGGGATGTGAAGGACCTCTTCAAGAACTACAAACCACTGCTCAATGAAACAAAAGAGGACACAAACAAATGGAAAAACATTCCATGCTCATGGATAGGAAGAATCTATATTGTGAAAATGACCATACTGCCCAAGGTAATTTATAGATTCAATGCCATCCCCATCAAGCTACCAATGACTTTCTTCACAGAATTGGAAAAAACTACTTTAAAGTTCATATGGAACCAAAAAAGAGCCCGCATTGCCAAGTCGATCCTAAGCCAAAAGAACAAAGCTGGAGGCATCACACTACCTGACTTCAAACTATACTACAAGGCTACAGTAACTAAAACAGCATGGTACTGGTACCAACGCAGAGATATAGAACAATGGAACAGAACAGAGCCCTCAGAAATAATGCCACACATCTACAACCATCTGATCTTTGACAAACCTGACAAAAACAAGAAATGGGGAAACGATTCCCTATTTAATAAATGATGTGGGGAAAACTGGCTAGCCATATGTAGAAAGCTGAAACTGGATCCCTTCCTTACACCTTATACAAAAATTAATTCAAGATGGATTAAAGACTTACATGTTAGACCTGAAACCATAAAAACCCTAGAAGAAAACCTAGGCAATACCATTCAGGACATAGGCATGGGCAAGGACTTCATGTCTAAAACACCAAAAGCAATGGCAACAAAAGCCAAAATTGACAAATGGGATCTAATTAAACTAAAGAGCTTCTGCACAGCAAAAGAAACTACTATCAGAGCGAACAGGCAACCTACAGAATGGGAGAACATTTTTGCAATCTACTCATCTGACAAAGGGCTAATATCCAGAATGTACAATGAACTCCAACAAATTTACAAGGAAAAAACAACTCCATCAAAAAGGATATGAACAGACACTTCTCAAAAGAAGACATTTATGCAGCCAGCAGACACATGAAAAAATGCTCATCATCACTGGCCATCAGAGAAATGCAAATCAAAACCACAATGAGATACCATCTCACACACCAGTTAGAATGGCAATTAGTAAGAAGTCAGGAAACAACAGGTGCTGGAGAGGATGTGGAGAAATAGGAACACTTTTACACTGTTGGTGGGACTGTAAACTAGTTCAACCATTGTGGAAGACAGTGTGGCGATTCCTCAAGGATCTAGAACTAGAAATACCATTTGACACAGCCATTCCATTATTGGGTATATACCCAAAGAATTATAAATCATGTTGCTATAAAGACACATGGACATGTATGTTTATTGCGGCACTATTCACAATAGCAAAGACTTGAAACCAACCCAAATGTCCATCAATGATAGACTGGATTAAGAAAATGTGGCACGTATACATCATGGAATACTATGCAGCCATAAAAAAGGATGAGTTCATGTCCTTTGTAGGGACATGGATGAAGCTGGAAACCATCATTCTCAGCAAACTATCACAAGGACAAAAAACCAAACACCGCATGTTCTCACTCATAGGTGGGAATTGAACAATGAGAACACTTGGACACAGGAAGGGGAACATCACACACCAGGGCCTGTTGTGGGATGGGGAGAAGGGGGAGGGAAAGCATTAGGAGATATACCTAACGTAAATGATGAGTTAATGGGTGCAGCACACCAGCATGGCACATGTATACATATGTAAGAAACCTGCACATTGTGCACATGTATCCTAGAACTTAAAGTATAAAAAAAAGAAATTTGTTGATCACATACTATATGCCAGGCACTGTAGGAGGTGCTAGAGAGGCAGTAGTGAATAAGTTCCATGCTTTCATGCAGTGTATCTTCTAGCGTGGAATCCTCAGTGCCCACGCCATGGACGCATATTGGTTTGTGGCCTATTAGGAACCAAGCCACACAGCAGGAGGTGAGCGATGGGCAAGTGAGCATTACCAGCTGAACTCTGCCTCTTGTCAGATCAGTGGACTCTTATGGGAGCACAAACCCTATTGTGAACTGTGCATGCAAGGGATCTAGGTTGTGCAGTCCTTATGAGAATTGAATATCTGGTGATCTGGGGCGGAACAGTTTCATCCCAACACCATTCCCCCATCAATCCCCAACCTCCTAGGTCTATGGAAAAAATTGTCTTCCATGAAACCGGTCCCTTGTGCCAAAAAGTTTGAGGACCGCTGTTCTGGTGGGAGAAACAGGCAAGGGATAAGAAAAGTAATAGTCTTCAAATAATGATACCATGAAGAAAATGAAAGAGTGACTTGGTAATGTATTCGGGTGAAAGGCATGATTGCATTACACAGAGTCAAAGCAGGCTCTGAGAAGACAGGATTTTGAGCTGAAAATCACAAGAAAAGAACTGGATAAACAAAGAATAGGGCAACAAGCATACCAGGCAGAGACAACATCGTGTGCAAGTTCCCTGAGGTGGAAATAAGACAGTTTTACAAATCCCTGAGTAACTTGCATGTAAATCCAGTCAATCATTTTATTATTCACTAGATGAGCTCACCATTTAAAAGAACATGTCAGATTCCTTTTTAAAGTCATGACTCCCAACTTCTATGCAGTGGTTTCTAAACTATTGTGTGCTGAAAAATCACCTGCAGAGTTGTTGAAAATGGCTTCCTGAGCTGTATCCTCAGAGAATCTGATTCAGCAGGTGGCGAGGCCCGCAGATTTGCATTTGTAACACACTCAGGTGATGCCAATGCTACTAGTCTGAGGACCATGCTTGGAGAACTGCTGCTCTAACGTATGTTTTGTGAGTTTAGTATCTATTTGCTAAAAGTAAAGCATAACAAAATTTTCTTTTTTGTTAAAGACTAGACTGCATGCTGATGATCTGAAATTAGTTTTTGGAGGTGCAGTGGAAAAGTACACAAAACATTAAAGGTTAAAAGAAGTAGCCTCAATGTTTTATACTGCATTCAAAGCATCTATAGTAAGATGAGCTTAATTTCAATACAGCCAATTAGAGAGGGTTAATGTCACGGTTTTTGTTTGAATCAGGTTTCAAAAATTACTTTTTAAAACATTGAAAAGACTTTAAATGAGAGATTACTGATTTTCTAAACTTATTTTTATTTCTTGACTGTGAGATCACAGAAATTGTGTATTAAATCCTGTTAATCTGGAGAATATGGGAAGGTTGTTCTTTTCATCAACTGCCATTCAGGAGGACACATATGGAAAAGAGATGGAGAAAGGAAGAAGGACATCAGGCTAGTCAGCCAGATCAGCTCAAATCATTCTGGTCAGCTGAGCTGGGAGGACATATGTCAAAGAAGCCAATGTGCTCCTGTTCCTAGTAGTTGTTCTCAGGAAAGGATTTTATAAGCAAATTGCCTGTGCTTTGAACATTGTGACCTTAGTAGCATCAGGGATAGGATATGGATGATGAA
The DNA here is from genome assembly GCF_000001405.40 of Homo sapiens. NCBI lineage: Eukaryota > Metazoa > Chordata > Mammalia > Primates > Hominidae > Homo > Homo sapiens. The sequence goes on from NC_000012.12 coordinate 39,753,723, forward strand.
AACAAAAGCTAACAGTTATCCAGTCCTTACTATATGCTACTGCTCTACTTGCTTTCCATGATTCATTGATAACCTTCACTACACACAAGTGAGGTAGACGGTAGTAGCATCTCATTTTATAGACAATGAAAGTGAGGCAATGAGTGGTTCAGTAATTTAGGTTACTAGGCAGTAAGTTGAAAAGCTGGGATTCAAATCTAAATGATTTGAATTCAGTCTGACCTCTTAGACAATGCATTATATTGCCTCACATTTGACAAGAGTCTCTAAATGAAGATTTTTCAGGATTTGTTCCTGTAATCCATATGCACTCTTTTACAATGCAAGGATTCCACAATTTCTTTCTGTTTTTAATCTATCTGCCTGGGTCTGAAAAGATGTTCCAAAGGAGGACATAGAGGGGAAGACTTTTGGTGTAGTCACTGCAAAGAAGAGTTTTCTATGACTTTCTAGTGTGATCTTGGGCAAGTGACAAAAATGTTTTGAACTTAAGTTTTAGTACCTGGAAAAGGATGACAATGTTTATTCCACAGGATTGGACAATTAAATGAGGATTTTTCTGCCCACTGATACTGACATGTTCTGCACTATTCAGGTGTCCGTTATTCAGGTGAGTGGACAATTTATGTGTAATTCGTGGGATTTTCAAGGGTCATTTGACTTGGATTTTTGCCTTACCTGCTGACGTTAAGAACCTTAGTTAGATGTAACTCAACTGTAAGCCTTTGAATGACAGTAGGTCTAGAGTCTTCAGAAGATCTCCTTGGGCTATTTCTAAGTCAGGCTCAGGAAGACACACAACTAATTATGGACACGTGTCTAGCAACTGCCAATATCAAACAAGTGTATATTTGCTAATTATAGCTATGATTGAGGCAGAATGGCAAGGGAGAGCAACGGAGTCCCAAAAAGAACTGTCAACTGGCCTTCCAGCACGATTGTTCATTTTCACTTACAGAACCACCACCAAAGATAATTTTTGACAACTCAACTTAATGGTTCATGTCAACATCTGGTTCTGACAATAACTATAATTATTACTTCAAGGGTTCCTAAGCACCACATTTCACAGTTTTATATTCAGTATTTAGAATAATTCTTTAGAACAATTTTTAGGTATTATAAAATATTTTTAAAAGATGATTTATCATATCCATAATCAAAAGAAATAAAATATCATTAAAATGAGTAGGACTGCATTAATATATAGAGGTAGATTGTCTTTCTAGATGCTTTAACTATCATCTAACCTACATCCAAGGAAGATAACTAGAAAAAATAAATAAGTGCAAGGGAAGTTAATGAGTAATGAATTATTTTAACTTTTATTTGATTATTTTCATTTACAGTTCTGGCACTGACACTTTTTTTAAAAAAAGATTTTAATTTTATGTAAAGATTGAACTTCAATAAAATAACTTAAAAAACATTTACATGTATATCACTAAATCTCCATAAAATATACAATACTTTTGATACAGCATAGGCTAGGATGACTTTGAAGGAAATGGTACATATTCATAATTTTTAAGAGATATCCCATATATCGCTTGTGGGAATAAATACTTATATTGAATTTGCCAAGACATCTGAAGTATTAAATACTATATAACATGCACTCAGAAATTAAAATATACAGTTTGAAATACATATATTTTAAAAGCATAAAACTGTGATTTGATTTAATCTAGGTATACATTAGAGCTTCTAAATAGAAATTTGAATATTTATTACAAATAAAAGATACTTTAACATCAAGTGATATATAGTCCAAAAGCTGCTAGGAGACAGTTTGGACGTGTAGAATATAAATTTCTACTTTGGCTAGAGTTGTCTCTTCTTTTTTAACCTTTAAATGAGATGGAATAATGTTGTTTGCTAAAACTTTAAAACTTTACAAAATGTTGGTTACTCATTAGCTGCATGATCCACTTCTTTTTCTCATTTATGCTGACATGACAAAATCAAACACATGAACTTAACTGTCTAAAATAAAAATGTGAATATTACTGCTAAATGAAGGCATTTAAAATTCCATAGACCAAATTACTCAAGTACAACAGACTATATATTTTGTACATATAAAGATTTACATAAATTATATTGTTTTAGCTCACTAGCAAATTATACGGATAAAATACTTTCATGAACTTCTGAACATCAACACTCTTATAAAACACCTCTTTGATGATTACTGGCACACAAAAATTTCCTTCTCTAAAGAGACAAGATACAAGAAAGAGTTGGTAGCAGTTAGCTATTTGGCATTTTTAAATGATTGCTATTTCTAGAAAAATAGCAGCAGTATTGCTCACCTAGAAGAGCTGAATGTACCGACAATTTATAGACTGCTACAACCTGAACCATTTCATCAAATTGGCTTTACATTATTGTACATGAGGCCAAGAAGATTGGTAAAAGTGACAGAAAACAGGATGTAAAAATTAATCCACAGAACAATTCTGAGCCTTCTTATTGGCAGCAGCTACATATGAGCTATAAATTTTAACCACAATTTAATACATTTTGCTATAAAGCACATATTATAAATTCTCTGCTCCTGGTCTGATATAATCATCTATTTCTTTTACTCATAGATACTGAAAAGGTCTTAATTTGGTAATTAAAAACTTGTCACAACAAGTGAATAAAAGTCAGTTGTTAGGTACTTAGTATAAGTTGACATTTTATAACTTGCAATATGGTAAAAAAAAATCTGATTATAACAAAACGTCTCATTAATTTTGTTGTTTTTAATAATTGTGCTGATGAAATAAAACCAAAATAACATTCCAACTCTCTCCACTGTATTACAGTATTTATGAACTGTATTAGTGTCACTAAATTCTGAGACTTTCTTAGATAAACATATGGATGGTATTTTCTAAAACATTCTTCCATTTCCACCAACTTCTGGATCTGTGAGTTATTCTAATATATTTTCAATATTATTTTGTTGTTAAAAAGCAAAAGGGTAAGTTGTCAGCTTATATTTTTCCTGATCATTCTTCCCCTGTATAACAGATACTGAAATTACAGCAAAAATTTCATAAATTCCTTGCTTTTACTGATTTCCCCTTTTAGAGTGAATAACTTAATATTTAGACTCTTATGTACTAAAATCAGGTTCAGTGGTAAAATTAAATTATGAAAAAATAGTCGGTATTCTCATAGCATTTTGTATCAGGGAACTACTGTGTATGGCTGGGAACAAAATTTAAAATGGACACATTACCTTTTATTATTTATTATTTAAATATTTTACATATATTAAAAATAATCATGTTTTGGGAAATGATTGACTAAGGAGCAACAATCAAAATTATTAGGAATGTTTACATTGAAGAAAATTATTAACGGCAAACCCTTTTGACATCACATTCAGCCCTATGTGTTTATATGCAGATGAAATGATATATCCTCTTAAGTCTAGTGCAGATCAGACATCCAGCCTCAATAGGGATTTGGACCTTCTTCATTGTATTTTCCTAAGACATAATATACCTCTATCAAATCTGCAGCATGTTTCAAAGGAAGTCTGTAATTTTGGTTGAAAGCATGATACGTAATCTGTGTCTGCTTTAATATGGTAGGTCAAATCACATCATATATAAATTGTCCTACAAAATATATATTTGATGATACTACAAATGGAATGTTTCCAAGTTGATAGTGGTAGCCAAATATGCTGGGAACTTAAAAGGTGCCTAATATAAAAAAACCTGCAAAATTTAAACATTTAATTTTTAATATACTATAAATGTTCACCAAATCTAAAAATAATACCCTAATTGTATAAGGTTCCTTTTCAAGTAATTGTTTCTAAAAAGTTATAAATAATTCTTATACTGTGCCTCTCTGTCTTATACTTCAAAGATATGGAATATTATCTTTAACACTATATAAATAACAAATAGTCCTTTAAAGTAGGGGCTCAGGGGAGTAGGGGAGGAGAACTGTGGCTAATTTTCCCTGTTATTATGTGCATTTATGGTTATAAAGTTGAAAACATTGTTTTCTTATATCAGGGAGAACAGGCCATGTTCTGCTTTAGGAAATAACAAGAGTCCAGTTTCTCCTTTAATAAAGTTACTGTGCATCAGCCCAGCTGAGTTTATAAGTATATAGTTAGTTAAGGCTACATATACAATAAAGAGAAGGATTGAGGCAATTATTTTGATTAAGTCCAAAAAATAAATTTTTAGAGAGCACTTTATTGGTCTACTTTTTCTCCTTATTATATTTTGATTGTACCATATAGTAGCTTATTTTTCACTTCAATTTACCTGTGTAAAATATTAGATAAGAAATTTCTTATGAGATAAGAAATATCAATAGAATAATAATTTTCCCTATTAAATCATATCTGCTTTTCTGAGGAAAAAATCAATACTAATATTCCCTTGGAAATCAATTGTTAAAGCACCTAATTCAAGGAAAAAACCTCTATAAAATATTAATTTTTTTTATTATATGAAATGACCAAAGGGAGAAAACGTTTTTGTTTTTGGTTAATGGATTTTTAGGGCACTAAATTGACAGTTTAAGCACATATTATACCTCTGGTGACTTAGAGAATGAACTTCCTCAGCTGTATTCTCAGCTTGATAACTGTGATAGGAACAAGCCAGACATTAAAAGAATAGAGTATCTTGGAGACTGGAAGAAATATTTTGAATATGGAGATAGCCACCTTTTCTCTCCAAATACAGTACCTTATTAGATGTTTAGAGCCATTTAAAAATGCATCAAACTGATGTATTCCTAACTGGCCACAGAAGATTCATTCATATTTTTCCTGGAACTAGCAAGTAATTTTGTGATCAAGTAATTTTGTACATACTATATAGTTCTTAATAGAAAAGCAAAAATTAAGAGTTCAGTGATGAATTACCATAAAAACCAATGAATACCTTGGAAAGACATTGTGGAAATATAATTAAGCCTGCATTTCTTATAGACGTGCTATATTAGAACCAATTATCTGTTCCAATAGGCAATCTCAATTTTTACACAAGAAGGAAAAACTAAGCCAAGAATAAGAAAAACACAGAGACAAATCTATGTATCTTTTTTTTTTCTGGTAAATTCTCAGGAAAATGAGAAAAGTGTGCAAAATAAAAACGAGTTTATGCTCTTAAAGTAAAAAAAGACAAGTACAATTAAATAATAATATGTGACATTTCCCTTAGGAAGAGCTAATAAAAAGTTAAGAAAAAAGTCCCATTATTTTTATTAAACAAACACCAATAACAGCAGGATTATTTCTGCCACTGATTTCCTTCCTCTTTTTTGTTTCAAAAATTATTGTTTGAATAAAAGAAAGGGGAAAAATGGTTTGCTTGCAGCTATGTATGTAACACAAATGAAGGCACGAAATAGTAGGACTCCAAGGCCAATGAGGAAGGTGTAGTGATTTGGGCATGAACAAAAACTGACCCTGATATACAGTTAAAGATCTGGCACTATTTTGCATTTATAATTGCATACCTAAGTGACTAACCAATTTGGAACCCATAAAAACCTTTAATCTGTTACTTTCTGAACATAAAAGGTACTTCTCAAAACTTCCTAGCTCATCTGCGCAAATGTATGCCTTATCACTGATGCAAAAAAAAGAAGTATGAAAACAACCCGACAGATTATATTTTCATAATGTTCAAAAGATAGTGTGCAGAGTCAGTATCTGAAGAACTCCCAATATCTGAATTGGAGAGAAACAAAAATATGGAATCCAAAGGAGATACGGACAGCTGTGCCCTTGTAGGAGGCACTTTGGAATTTGTTGATGAAAGCTTACATGGAATTTAGTTTGTAACAGCTGATCAGAGATAAGCCACTACTCTGTAGGAAAACTGAGGGCCAATAGGCCATCTTTTGACACAGAACACCCTTGGACCATCTCCCAGAATCCTTTATAAATATATTATACATATGTAATTTGGCTAGATTAGCACTGACTCTGTTGCCACTAATAATTATAAATGGTCTTAGGAAAAAAGGATACCACTGAAGTCACTGGGTACAATATTCATTTTAGACTATTTCAGGAAGGCATTACACACATTTGCTTAAGAATTATTAGATTAAAATCTCTGTAAATATTTTTTAAAATATTGTTCCTTGTGGAAAAAAAAAGTCATCATGGTTGTATCTTCCTCCTAATCAAGTATTCTAGAATATGAAGTCAATCAAAACTAGGCTGTGGAAAGAACCAGATTAGAAGCAGGGCAGTGAAGTCACCAATTGCTGTTCTTCTCCCCCCAGTTTGTTTAAATAACTAAATATATGAGCAGCTGAAAATTATTCCACATCAGAAGCATCATTGTCAGAAAGATGATAGTTACTTCCCTTTACCCGAATATATTCAATATATCTCCCTTCATCAGAATCTGAAGTGCCACATGTACATAGCCTGTTGTCAAAGAGTGATTCAATTTCCTCTAATTTTTTGCCTTTGGTCTCAGGAAGACAGCCATAGATGAAAAGGAGTCCCACAGCAGCAAATCCAGCATAGAGGAAGAAAGCTCCTGCAACGGAATATAATAGATACATGAATATGAATATATAGAGAGAGGCTTAAGTTGGAAAGATTACTTGATTTTGACTTTTTTTTTCTGGTCAGTCATGCATAATCACAGTATGAAATGGACCAAAAAATTACTATGAACCTGGTTTACTCCAATTGTTCCAACTCTGAGAATATGATGTAATGTATCTTTCTAAACTCAAGTTTAGAAACTCAAGAATAATAGAACAGGCTCAGATGTAAGTTTGGCTTTGAAGCCTTTCCTCCCTTCCCTGACTAGAGGGAATTATTCTCTTCCATGTGCTATCACAGCATGTTGTTGAGACCCCTAAAATAACAACCAAGAAATATTATAATTATGTACACACACGTATGCTTGCCTTGTCTATTACACTAGAGGCACTTTGAGGTCAGAAGAAGTTCCTTTCTTAATTTGTTTTTCATTTCCCTCCACTAGAATGTAAACTCCATGAAGTCAGAGAATTTTGTTTTGCTGTAAGATTATGCATGTCAATGCAGAACAGCCAGAAACACATAAATATTAGCTAGTTTGGTTTTCTAAGGGTCATGATAGCAAGCCTAGATGGATGAGATATATGAATGTATGACTTGTTTATATTCTCTACACATTTCCAAGATGGACTTTTAAAATAATTGAATTCCGACCAGCCTGGCCAACATGGTGAAACCTGTCTCTACCAAACACACACACACACACACACATAATTGAATTGCCAATTTGAATATAAGAAACTATACTTGTACTTTTGATGGTGGAAAACAACAAAGTAAAATGGAGCCCCTGTCTAATTTTAGGCTTTCAGTCCAGACCATCATGTGTATGAGATGGGGGAAGTAAGATGAAAAACTAATGTGACAATTGGCTGGAGAAAGGATATCAGACTGGGAGTGGGAAGAACTGAGTTTAAGTGTTGGCCATGTGACTTCTGGATAGTCATTTAACCTCTTCTCTGGGCCTCTGTTGCCTCATTAAGTAAAATAAGGGGGCTTCTCAGCTCCTACTTAAGTGTTGGCAGTTTATGATTCTGTAAATCTTACAGCCAAAATCAGGGGCATGTATAGGAGATATAGTTAAGAGATGGTTGAGAGAGAGACTTGATCTGTGTAATGGGGAAAATAATTCTAGCTTTGCCCAACTGTAAAGAATAGAAATAATGTATGTTATCATGCCCATTAGAATTCTGAATATCAGTTGCTCAAAAAAGTGATGCCCAGATTGTTAAATTCTACTAAATGACCAGGAAAGGAAGAGTTGCTATTAAGATACAGAATAAGATTAGTGTGACTAATTAATTGGGATGTTTTTACAAAAAGGGTGATACTGATAAGCTAGCTCTTGGAGAATGGGGGAATTTTGACAAAAAAAAAATGAAAGGAGATGAAGTCCTGTGTTCTGAGTACAGATATGCAAGACTGTGGAGGTAGGAAGAGAAATGGAATCTTTAGCAGGGAGGGACAAAGACGGGATAGTAATTATGATGAAGATAAAGAAAAAATAAGTACAGATGGTAAAACATTTTAGATTAAACTAGGCTTCTAAACTACAAAATCTGTAACAGCAAACCCAGTTTGACTTTTAAATATAATAGTATATTTTATCTTCATCATTATCTTTCACAATTTGGGAACAGTAGCATAATTAGAAGTAACAAATCAAATCTGTCAGCGCTAAACTCACTCCTATAGTTAAAAAACATTTGTTGGGTTAGGAAGATTCCTGAAGTTGATTACAGATTCTTTCTTGTGACCTGGATTCCCAAAGCTGAATAATATCAAGGAATTGCTATTAAAATACAAGACCGTTTTACAAAATCTGAGGAATCCAAAGCACGCAAATGCCAAAACTGCCTACTCAGTGTGGGTTCCAATGGTTAGACCTGTGGCTAAGTCGTGGAGGAGTGTGGGCAGACCTGGGAGGCTGTGACCTGGTCCATGTCATGGTCAAATCAGTCACTATCTCAGTTTCTCATTTATTCCTCCCTTGGAGTGAAAATGGCAAGAAAAAATGTCTGTAACGAGTCCATCAGGACTATTGAACAGTTAGATATTCCTCACCTTTATTCTTCTAAGGATTTAAATCTTATTAGAGCCCTACATTAAGTTCCAGATTAAAACAACTATTTAATTGAATTACACAAATTGACTACCTCAAGAGAGAAGCTTTGACATAATGCCCCCCAAGGGATCTCTTTAGCCACATGTGCTGTATATAAAATGGCATATTGGTGATATAGCAATGATACTTTTTAGTAATAAACATTATTGAATGGGGGCACAAGGCAGACCTGTGTAAGCAATATGGTTGAGGAAGGAATCAAATTTTGAGATCTTATGAAACAATAAAAAAGGAGGCAACAAAGAAGACATAACTATTTCCAGAGGAATACACGATTAGGATGTATATTTATTAAATGAGGAATATAAATGCATAGCTTACATAAACCAGTAACATGTGGATTAAAATGAGACACAAAAAGGGAGAAAAACTAGCCTGAATGAACTATTTTTCTACTACTAGAGAGTAGTAGACCAAATGGACCAGTGCTCTGACATGAGAGAAGCTTAATGCAAAGCAACACACTTTTAACTGTTTATTTTTGAAAGAATTCTGCTTATGCCCTATTTAAATTTCATTACTGTTGCCTCATTTTTCTCTGGTTTTCTGGCAGGATAAATTCAAGAAAGAGGAGCTTTGCTGTCAAAAGTATAATCATGTAAACTTTTATTATTTGGTCTATGCCTTTCTATGAAAAATGCTTTCTCAGGATGCGAGCATATACTTAGGTCTTCAAATATTTAAGTGTTCTCTAGAATCAGTAAATACGAGGAAATATTTATTGTGCTCGTATTTATTATGTCATGAAGATAAGTTTATGAATTTATCGAAAAATTTTAATTGCCAAATGGGATCCAGCTGAATATACTAAATATATATCCAGTTTAAAATGCCAGTGCATTTCCTTTCCAAGAAAATAAATATTTCAAATGTCTTAAGTGGTGATTAGGAGAGAGAAGAGTTTTATGAAGATAATAAAAGCATTAGATAAATACCATTAACTAAAAGCAAATACCAGTTCAGCATGGTCAGAAGAGATGGGGAATAGATTTTTATAATGTTTCATCATATTCACCATTCATCTGCAAAATTTATCCATGTATTTATTCATTTGACAAACACTTTTTGGTGCTTATCAGGTGAACAGGATGCCTTGGCAGGAACTGGGAATGTAACAATGAACAAGGCACAGTCCTGGCCCTCCAGGGATTTATAGTCTACTAGAGAGAGCTAAGGGCAGACAAACCTGTTCTTGCAAAGAGAAATGATAAGTGGCCAGAGCACAGAGTAAAGAGATTGCGGGGAGATGAGAGAAGCTCTTCTGGGAGAATGGTCTAAGCAGCAGGCATTCCGTCTCTACCACATGGACTTATGAGGATATTAGAATGAAACCTCATACTTCATCATGAATAATCCTATTGCAACCTATAAAGTCATGTGAACAATGCAGAAATCTTTTTTCTAAAAAGCAAAGTCTTTTCCTGACTCAGCCACTAAGCACTATTGTTTTTCATTTTGAATTATGGCCTCCATACATTTGCATTTGAATACTTCCGTCATGTTTACACTTTTGCAAGTGGTAAGTACTGGTCTCAGAGGACACTGAAATGCACAAGCACTGGCCTGAGCAGCACAGGTGATACAGTGGAAGGTATGGCCACAGCACAGCATACTGTTAAGCATTTGAGGAAGCTACTTTCAGCCCTACGCAGATTCTGCTCTTGGACTGGACGCTATGCCTGTCACAGGACATCTCATTGGCCCTAGACTCCCTGCCTACATCTTTTTACCATTTTCTGTTTTTTTTTTTTGTTTGTTTCTGTGAAACTAAAAGCTATGGTGTAAAGACTTCCACCTGGGGAGATAGCTGGGAGATGTCTGAGTTGGGAGAGGGGTTGGGTGACAGCCCTAAGCACTGTGGAACAAGAAGCAGTGCTGTTTAGGATAGGAGAATCCCTCTCTTCTTTCCCAGACACATTTCCGATGCCTTTGGAGGACAAGAAAGCCACATGGAGATACTTATAACAGCAAAATATAACCACATAGTCTCAATCACAAATGATATTATAGTGTATCTAAAAATAGTGATAAAAATAAAAACAAAACTATGTTAGAAAAAATATTATCTTACCATAGTATGTAAGATACTCTGCTGTGTGTAAAAATGTTAGTGAAACCAGGACATTGAAAATCCAGTTTATTCCAGATGAACATGCATTTCCTGTACTTCTTGCCCAAAGGGGATATATTTCAGAATTCACAGTCCAAGGCATTGGTCCCATTCCTGAGAAATAAAACATTAAAAACTTTAGTAAAATAGCATGTAAGAAATTTGAAAAATTATAGTTTATCTACTCCAAAAAGAGGCAATTCAATTAATGCAACAGTATAACAAAGTCTTTGTTTACCAGGTGCAAAGAAGACAAGATATAAAATAAGGCCCAGAAGTGCAGTCCAGGAGTATGGAGTAGGGCAGAAATTGTAAGCCCAAAATATATCTTCTGTTTTGAACTTGGTTTCATTTTCACACCTGAAAAATAATGCAATATAAGTATTAACTTAATGTTTTTGACTACAGTTGCAGAAATTCAATATGATCATATTTATGTATTTGGAAATTCCTTAATGTCTTAAGAGTCCAAAATGTTTTTCTTAAAAAATAAGAACTAAATATACAGTATTAGATATGCGAGCTTGTATAGCAATTTTACAGCCAAGTATAATTCAAGAGCAAAACAAAGACACCGTGTTTTATAACCATTTCACATAAATTAGACATGATTTCTAATTAGTCCCTGGAAGCTGCAGTAACACTTCAGTACCACTGAGAGTCAGTATGTGGCAGTGAAAAGACCATGGCATTTGCAATCATGACAAGATTCAAATTTCAGAGCCAGATACTTTTCATCTGATAAAATGGGGATAATACTTTGTAGACTATTTTAAGGATTAGAAGAGTAACCTGTAAAGGGTGATGGGGTGGATGAGGGAAACAAATGATTCTATCTGATTCCAAATAGCCCTCTCCCTTTCTGCTCCGTGTCCTTGCTTCTCTACCAGTCACTCCCTGATGACCTTGCCTTCTTAATCCATAGTAAAGCAAAGGGTCCTACAGTTTAGATCCATTCTGAAGTTGAACTTCCAGTTCTTTACCTTAATTGCCCCTGAAGATATTACCAGACTCAAAAACATTCCTATCCCCTATTGTCAATTTAGAGTATTGTTCTGTCTCCTTCAACCTCTATCTTTGAACCTTGTCATCCAAGCCCTATTGTTACCATATTTATGAACTCATCATAACATTCCACCTGTCTTGATGATTTGGGTGCCTGCTCAGTCTACCTCCTCTCATCCCCTGCCACATTCATTTATTTTTAATTCATTGGCCTCATTTAAAAAAATTATTTTATTTAAGTTCCAGGACACATGCACAGGATGTGCAGGTTTGTTACATAGGTAAATGCGTGCTGTAGTGGTTTGCTGTGCCTATCAACCCATCACCTAGGTATTAAGCCCCATGTGCATTAGCTATTTATCCTGATGCTCTCCCTCCTCCCAGCCCCCACAGGCCCTAGTGTGCATTGTTTCCTTCTCTGTGTCCATGTGTTCTCATTGTTCAGCTCCCAATTATATGTGAAAACACGCAGTGTGTGGTTTTCTGTGCTCCGTATAATGCATTGGCCTCATAGTTCCTTATTTAATCTCCAACACTACAGAGACAGCACTTTATAGTTTCCTTGATTTGGAACTATTTTACTTCAGACTTTGAGCCTTCCTTTTCTGATCACAACCACCACTTTGTTTATCTCCTCATTTCTGATCATCTGTGCTACACCCAGATCTGCCTTTGGATTATCCTTTCAGTATTCGTTTACCTCACTGCTCAGCTTAGACCACGCCAATACAGGCATAGCTTGGAGATATTGCGAGGTCAGTTCCAGACCACTGCAATAAAGTGGGTCACACGGATTTTTTGGTTTCCCACTACATATAAAAGTTATGTTCCCATGAAAGTGCAGTCTATTAAGTGTTCAATAACATTGTCTAAAAATGTACAAACCTTAATTTTAAAATATTTTGATAAAAAATGCTAACGATCATCTGCACCTTTCACAAGTCATCATCTTTTTGGTGGAGGGTCTTGCCTCAATGTTGAGGGCTGCTGACTGATTAGGGTAGTAGTTGCTGAAGGCTGGGGTGGCTGTGGCAATTTCTCAAAATAAGACAACTGGGAAGTTTGCAAAATTGACTGACTTTTCCCTTCACTAAATATTTCTCTGTAGCATGCATTTTACCCAGATAACTTCTTTCAAAATTGGAGTCAATCCTCTCAAACTCTGCTACTGCTTTGTCAACTAAGTTCGTGTGATACTGTAAATCCTTTGATATCATTTCAACAATGTTCATAGCACTTTCACCAGGAGTAGATTCCATCTCAGAAACTACTTTCTTTGTTCCTCCTTAAGAAACAACTCCTTATCCGTTCAAGTTTTATCATGAGATTGCAGCAATTCAGTCACATCTTTAGGCTTCGCTTCTACAATAGTTCTCTTGCTGTTTTCCACTATATCTGAAGTTACTTTCTCCCCTAAAGTCTTCAGCCCTTTAAAGTCATCCATAAAGGTTGGAACAACTTCTTGCAAACTTCCAAACTGTTCATTTGGTATTTTGACCTCCTCCCATGAATCACGAATGTTTTTAATAGCATCCAGAATAGTGAATCCTTTCCAGAAGATTTTCACTTTACTTGGCCCAGATCCATCTGAGAAATCACTATCTATGGCAGCTATGGCCTTATGAAATGCATTTTTTAAATAATAAGACTTGAAAGTTGAAGTGACTCCTTGATCCATGGGCTGCAGAATGGATGCTGTGTTAGCAGGTATGAAAACAACATTCATCTTGTACATCTCCATCAGAGCCCTTGAGTGACCAGTGTCATTGTCAATCAGCAGTAATATTTTGAAAGGAATCTTTTTTTTCTTTTCCTGAGCAGTAGGTCTCCATAGTGGCTTAAAATATTCTCCAAACTATGCTGTAAATATAAGTGCTGTCGTCCAGGTTTTTTTGTTTCGTTTTAGAGCACAGGCTGAATAGATTTAGCCCTTCTTAAGGGCTCTAGGATTTTTGGAGCGGCAAATGAGCATTGGCTTCAACTTAAAAGTCACCAGCTGCATTATCTCCTAACAAGAGACCCAGCCTGTCCTTTGAAGCTAGACATTGACTTCTCCTCTCTAGCTATGAGAGTCCTGGATGGTATCTTCTTCCAACAGAAGGCAGTTTCATCTACATTGAAAAATCTGTTGTTTAGTATAGCCACCTGATATGGTTTAGCTGTGTCTTCACCCAAATCTCATTTTGAATTGTAGTTCCCATAGTCTCCACGTTGTGGGAGAAACCCAGTGGGAGGTAATTGAATCACGGGGGTGGTTACCCTCATGCTGTTCTCATGATTGTGAGTGAGTTCTCATGAGATCTGAAGGTTTTATAATGGGCTTTTCCCCTTTTTACTTGGCACTTCTCCTTCCTGTCGCCATGTGAAGAGGACATGTTTGCTTCCCCTTCCTCCATGATTGTAAGTTTTCTGAGGCTTCCCCAGCCCTGCAGAACTGTGAGTCAATTAAATCTCTTTCCTTTATAAACTACCCAGTCTCAGGCAGTTATTTATAGCAGTGTGAGACCAGACTAATACATCACCTTTATTAGTTATCTTAGGTAGATGTTCTGGATAACTTGACGCAGCTTCTCCATCAGCACTTGCTGCCTCACCTTGCAACAAGGTGTGAAGTGAAAACAGCTTCTTTCCTTAAACCTCATGAACCAACCTCTGCTAGCCTCAAACTTTTCTTCTACAGCTTCCTCACCTCTCTCAGCCTTCATAGAATTAAATGGAATTAGAGACTTATTCTGGATTAGGCTTGTGCTTAAGGGAATGTTGTGGCTGGTTTGATCGTCTATCCAGACCACTCAAACTTTCTTCATATCGGCAATAAGGCTGTTTCACTTTCTTATCATTTGTGTGTTCACTGGAGTGGCACTTTTAATATCCTTTAAGAATTTTCTTTTGTAGTCACAATTTGGCTATTTGGTGCAAGAGGCCTAGCTTTCAGCCTATCTCAGCTTTCAATATGCCTTCCTCATTAAGCTCAATTATTTCTAGCTTTTGATTTAAAGTGAGAGTCGTGCTACTATTCCTATCACTTGAACATTTAGAGGCCATTGTAGAGTTATTAACTGTAGTGTCTTAGGGAATAGAGAGGCTCCAGGAGAGGGAGACAAAGAAGGAAACAGCTGGTTGGTGGAGTGGTCAGAACACACACAACATTTATAATTAAGTTTGACGTCTTATACGGGTGCAGTTTGTGATGCCCGACAACAATTACAATAGTAACATTAAAGATCACTGATCATCATAGCAGATATGATAATGAAAAAGTCTGAAATAATGTGAGAATTACCAAAATGTGACATAAAGACACTAAATGAGCACATACTATTGGAAATATGGTGACAATAGACTGGCTTGATGCAGGGCTGCCAGAAACCTTCGGTTTGTAAAACAAAATGCAATGTCTGTGAAGTGCAATGATGGCAAACACAATAAAATGAAGTATATACTGTCTTCACTAGCCTCTAGAATCCATTCTTCCTCTATTTTTGTCTGCCATTTTTCACCATTTGAGTTCCCAACCCGGTGTGGCTTATTAACTTCTTTCAACAACCACTTCTCAGAAACTGAGCAGTGTTATGAAACCATGCTGTTGGGCTGTATTAAAAGTTCATGCCATTTTATCTCAGTTGGTTCCCTAATGATGCTTATTTTATCCTTTATTGTCTTCTCTACTGAATTATCTGCTTATCTAAGAGTAGACATTCCATAAACTTTTGTCAACTATTGCCTCAATTAATTAAAATATTTCTTACTATCTTGTAATCCTGAAATCTTTCCTTCTGTTTCCTATGTGACGAACTTACCTCCTTTTTTTGGAAGATTTATCAATTTCAGTTGAGAAAAATAAAATAAAACCAGGAATTTGGAGATGCTTTGTAGGACTTGATACATTTGAATCTGAAGAACAGATCTTTTAACAACTGGAATTCTTTTAAAAGAATTGAAGATCATTACTTTGAACATCAATTTTTCTCTATCAGCTTCTACTTTTCTATATTTTTCTCTCAATATTTGAGAAAAGAAAGTTTTTTAAAAAACATTGTAGGGTGTAGGCTTCCTTCCTCCCTCCGGTGGTACAAGTCTGTCACCCTTTCTGAGGACTGCCCTTCTTATCAGTGTTCTTGCATCTCATTCTCCTGCCTCCTCTGGGGTCACGTTCCATCAATATCTCTTCTTTTCCTGCCCTATTTAGTTTCATCCTACTTGAGCCTTCCCTTCTGTCTACAATACACAAGATCTCTCTTACTCAAATGTTCAACTCCTCTCATATTACCACAACTAGCTCTCCTGAAATACCAGAAGTTTATACTCACGAGCTCTACCTGACTACACAATCCTTCTTTCACAGCCCAACTCTCCCACCCTCCCAGATGCTGGCTAACTTTTATGTGGTCTTTTTCCTGGATGTGTTCAAACAAAAGTCATCAATTAGCTCCTAACATACAAATTCAGGTTTCTTGTCTTAATCTTGATGCTCTTTGATTACTCTGTGGTGCTTGACATTGCTGACAACTCTCCTTCCTTCTCTTCCCTCTTTGCTTTTATATCTGTATCTCCATTTTAGCTCTCTGACCTATATGTATTCATTGCTTTTTAAATTGCCTCTTCCTCTTCTCAACCTCTAAATATAGGTGTCCTCTAAGGTTCTATTTTGGGACCTATACCCTCTCTCATAATCATCTCATCTAATTTTAGGACTTTATAATTTCCATGTGGATGCTCCTCAATAGTTTATTCTGGCCTTGATCTTTCTTCCAAGTTCCACTGATGGAATTTAGGTACCTAAGTACCTAAAATAGCAGAGTTGCTATGAACATCTAGATCCTGCCATGGCCTCAAATGCAATATGACTACAACGAAATGACCTCTCCAGAAGGCAGCATGGGGCTGCTCTGAGTTCAAATCGTGACTCTACCACTTAATAGCCATATTCATTCAAAAGCTTATATAATGAGCACTTTTTATGCATCAGACATTAGCAATAACAGTTATGAACAAAATACCAACCAGTGCATTTGTAGAACCTTGAGTTTAGCGGGCACTGGCATGGTCCTGTTTCCTGATCTGTGAGATCGGGGAAAGAACTGTATCATGGGCTGTTGGGAACATTAAATATTCCCATCTGGATAAGCATAGAGCATCTGCACACTCAATGCTTAGCATACTGCCTGGCATGTGGTATATGCATAGCATAAGTATTACTTTACTAGTGCCCCTCATGACATTTCTATTTTAGTTAACACCACCTTACCCTAAATTGGAATGGTTTAAAATCTTGCAGTTATTTTCATTTTCCTCTTATCCACTTCTCTTAGGTCCTTTATACTTTTAAGTCCAAGTAAAGAAAAGTGGCCAAGACTAGGAGCTTTGGTATTGACATCCTAGGTTCAGATCTAGGCTGGGACACCCAGGTAAAGTTAGGATATATGTGGCCTCTAGGTGTAATATCTCAAAGCTGTGTCATCATCTGTGAAATAAGGATTTTCCTGGTACCTACCTCAAAAGGCTATTTTGATGCTTATGTTAGAGAACGTACACAAAGAATTTCACATGATATAGGCAAGAAACCATATTTCCTAGACATAATTTCTTGAATCTGACTTTTCTATTTGCATTAACACCATCCTAATTTAGACTCCGAGTGTGTGTCCCATCACCTGCCTCTGCCTCTGCGGGAGAGAGACTCTAGAGTAACCCTGATGGTTCCTATTTTCTGATTTTCATGCCTTGTGTAGTTCCTTTTTCTGGAGTGTGGGAGTGACCTTGGATTTGCTTCCGACCAACAGAATATGGCAAAAGTGACAGGACATATGTGATTAAGTAAGTAAGATTCCAGTGCTGTTGAGCTGAAGTCTCTCATTCCCTTGCTGGTTTTGGAGAAGCAAGTCGCCATGCTGTAGGATGCCTATGCTGGGAGATTTGTGGAAGGAACTGAGGGCAGCCTCTGTCCAACAGCAAGCAAGAAACTGAAGTCCTCAGCACAAAACCACAAATTACTGAATTCTGCTAACAAAAATGAATCCTTCTCCAGCTGAGCCTTAGAGGAAACCATAGCTCCAGTCTGTGCATTGATTGTAGGCTTGTGAGGCCCTAAGCAGAGGACACACCTAAGCTATGCCTGCATTCCTGACCCACAGGAAGTGCTATATTATTAATGTGTGTTGCAGTAGTAAATGAATACAGTTTCCTGATTTTCCTGCTCCTATCATTCCTTTCTTCAAACTCATATGCCACCAAGTTAAGCGCCCTGACCACCTCACTGCTCAAAAACCTCCATCCTCCTTATTCCAGCAGTCTACAAAATGGCCTGCAAAATGTGGCTGCAGCCTACCTTATCTTGTACTCCTGTACACAATCCTTTTATGCAACTAAACTAAATTACTTATTTTCTGAACCTACAGTCTAGACCCAGTATCTCCTACTCATGACGTTTCCTGTAACTGAAGGCAAACTCTTACTCTTGATATCTACTGTCAGTATCTACCATCAATTCCTACCTCATCACCCAAGGCCTGTGTGGATGCTACCCATTCACCTGTCCGAGATATTCTCTCCTCCTCTCAACTCCTTTTCACTTTCCTCATTTATGTCATTATCATATAGTGCTCTGTATGGTCATATATTAATATACTCCTTCTTCTACGGTACTGAGATTTCATCCCAGGGAGTACAGCATGGCACAAGGGTCAAGAGCACAGGGTCTAATGTCAGACTGCATGAGTTTGTATCTCAGTTCTCTCCCTTACCAGCTTTGTAACTTTGGCCAAGTTACTTAACCTCTCTGTGTCTCAATTTTCTTGTAAAATAAGAGTCCATATAGGGTTGTTACAAAGATTAAACAAGGTGATAACTGCTTGGCACATAGAAAGCAATTTATAAGGGCTTGCCAAAAGAATAATCACCGTGCTATTTTTTTTTTAAATCTCAACCTATTGTCCATCATAATACCCTATGTAGAGATAAATGTTCCTTGAATGATGAAGCTTTTACATTTGCATTTGTTTAATTGTGAGTAGAAAACAGCATTAGATGTCCCTTGACCAATAATCCCCAGCAATGAAATAGTCTTTTGAGTCATGAAGATTTAAGAAAATAGGAAAGGAAAGAAAAAAGAGAAGAAGAAAGAAAAAAGAAAGGCAGGCAGGTAGGCAGGCTCCTGTAAGGAGGAATACTTACAAATAATGAAATAACTAAGATTCACTGAACAATTTTCTATTTACTCTTTTCGTTATTATCACAGTTCCTAGGGTGATCTCCTGCTGTGGCAATGAAGTAGGATACTTTAGAGTGGACTCTGTGCTTGCCCTGATGAAGCTTTTTGCCATCTGGCTATGCACGTTTACATGTGCAAAAAAAAGGCCAAGTAGCTCCTCATCATCCTCATGCTGATTTTGGGAAGGCACTGCAGGCACTAACTTGGCAGAGTTACATACTCAGCAATACGTAGATAGCTAATGACTGAGAATGTGACATCACACCTGACCTTCAAAATATAAACACTAGAAATACCAACTAAAAAATAAAAATGCAGATTTCAAACATTATTGCAAAATATCCTCATGCTTTCCTGGCAACTGCTGGTAGAAGAACATAATGCTCCCGAAAAGGAACAAAAATACTTTGACATCAGTGTGTGGGCTGGGATTAGAAAAAGTCATGCTCTTGGATGTGGCACCTTTTCACCACATCCTAGAGCAAAACCTGAAAATGACTGCAATAATGGGAAGCTGCTCAGAGGGCACTGCAGTGGACAAAGCAGCAGAATTGCATGCAATCAGGTGAAATATGTCTCATTTTGGCTGAGTGAGAGAACTAATCCTTACCAGCAGAATGACTAGGCTAAAACCTGATATACAGACCAAATAAATAATCGGTTCCCTGTTCCAATCATGGAATACACAGAACTCCCTTTAGTAATAACATGTAGAAATTAACAGCTCCCTTTGAAGGTGGAACAATGCTCCCCTGCCCACTCAACACCCACCAAACCTAGTTCATACGTAGATCTATTTCTGCCTTTTAAAATGTTACCTCTCCATCATTTATCTTTAGAGTTTCAAACCTAAGAAATAACCAAAGGAACTTAAGCAGTGCAAATATACAACTGTTCTTGCTAGTTAGCCATAAGTAGTATATTCCTTGCTTCCTACACAGCACATGCTGTCTATATTGCCCCTTTATTCTCCATGATGAAATAATTTGACTGCTCCAGGCTTATATATGGGAGTAGAGGAAAAGAAATATGACCTGTGTATAAAAACCAAAACTTCCAACTTCATATATTGAGTCCTAATCACTGATAAATGTATGAAACTTAGTTCCCTTCCCAAAGAGTTTATAAAAGATCCAGAATTTTAGAAAAGGGGAGAGCTTACTACAGTTCGTGTGACACATCTACCATCGTTCTACTGGGCTTACTGCACAAGCTTGCTAATTCATTACTGAGGAGTGTCAGTGAAGCACGATTTTATTTCCAGTTCCTGACGCAGGACTGTGATTTTTCTGGACAAGGTCCCTAAGCTATCACCTCAAAACATAGATATCCCTCTAAAAGTTAACCCTAATAGTTCTTTGTTGATAGAAAGTTAACCCTAATAGTTCTTTATTGATAGAAATTTATGATATAATTACACCATTACAATTTGAGGGTAGTGGTGAAAACGTACCTAGGAAAGCACAGAGTATCTCTCCAGGATAGGACACCTTCACTCTTATCTGAGGAGAACTAAAGAAGCAAAATCCTAATTCCCAACCAGAGATTTAGGATGGTGTAAATTTACTCTAAGCAACCCAAGTTATAAGAAATTCTAACTTCCGGGCATCCCTTCAAAGCAACCATGAAAAGTTACTGTTACAAACTTGGCCCATTACTTCTCAGATACTTTTAATTATTGTTCAGTAGGCATATTTCCTATTTAATAATCTAAAATGAAATAAACTTATGTCAAGGGTGGCCACATAGCATTTAAACTCTAATAACATCTCTGTGATTTTGAATAATTTTAGAAAAGTATGGTTTCCTAGCTTGCAGTGTGGAGACCATGTTGAAAATCCTGCCCTTGAATGATTTCCCATTGTCCAGCCTTTTTTTTTTTTTTTTGGTTTTGTAATTTTCCTGCAGAAGATTGTCATTTACAGACAAGATGAAAAACCTATTCTTTTGTTAATTACTATTATTTTCTAATAAAAAAGTCTTTATTGAGACAATTAAATCATAGATATGGGTAAATTTCAAAAGCCTTAGAAATTTGGAGCAAAAAGCCACTTTTTTCCTGAATAAAATATTATTTATCTATAAATCATTGCATCTAAACTCCTTATCGGTATATTGACTACCTTATATACCCCAAGTATGCAAAATAGATGGATGGAGTATGGACAGATGCAAATTAAAACAATGATAACATTTAAAGGTGATGAGACTATAGCAATAGTGGTACAGTCTCTAATTCTGGTAACAATTTAAATTGATATAATTTCCTTTTGGAAAGAAATTTGGCAATTTGAACATTAGAATATTCATCCCCTCTGTCTCAGTCTGATATCTAAAGTGTATCCTTAGGAAACCACTTAAATGGGAAATTATATGCTTCAAGATGTACTTTTCTCTGTGCTTTCATTTATCACAAGATTAACATAGATAGAGAATTAGAAACCATAAAAGTCTCCCACAATGGAAGGGTAGTTAATGCAATTAAGGTACAACTGAATAAAAAAGCAGCCATTAAAATAATCATTTTAAAGTAAATTGGGCCACAAAGGTTGGTCTGGATAGAAGACTGGTGAAAATGAAGTCTTAGGTAACGTAAGTTACTTTCATTTTGGCACCAAACTGGCCAACAAGCAAGGCAATAGGTGTATGCAAAATCCAGGACATGAGGATGTGGATGTGGCCTACTTCTGCCTCTCCAGTTCCTCCTGTATTCCTGAAGTTCTCTGGTCATTGTGAAGTTAACAGGCTACGGGCTCAGAGGAGCCCTGAACTCTGCCTTGGGGAGGGTCCACGTTAGCATTTGAGTGGTCTAAGAAAATGTTTAGACTCTATTAATTCATAAGAAAATACTTTGAAGTTCTTTCTCTTATTCCATTATCACATCCAAAGCAAGCCTGGCCATGGCCTACTTCATAAAGTCTACCTGGAAACAAACAAGATGTCACAAAGTTGGAGTGGGTAAGATATCAAACTACAAATACTGCCAGAGAATAAGTTATATGGATAAGAGTGACTGGAAATATAAAAAATTAGGGGAGGAGAAGGTAATTTATTACTTAATGATTGTTTTCATGGTTGAACTTATACAGGTTGTGTATCCCTTATTCAAAATACTTGAGACCAGAAGTGTTTCAGATTTCAGATTTTGGAATATTTTCATTATGCTTACTGGTTGAGCACCCCTAATCTGAAATCCAAAATGCTCCAATGAGCGTTTCCTTTGAGCATCATGTCAGCACTCAAAAAGCTTGGAATTTTGGAGCATTTTGGATTTTAGATTTTTGGATCAGGAATACTGAAACTGTAGTTGTGACAGTATTAATTTGAGAAGATGGGAGAAAGTTTAGTGACTCATAGACAGCTAATCTGGGGCTTCTTCTTCCATATTGCTGTTCCCCCCTACAATTTTTCCCATAATACAGTCAGGCATTACAGTTATTAGCCCTTCTCCTGCTTCAACTGGCACTGAAAGGAAGGGAATTATGCATCTTCTCCATTGTGCGGTTCCTTCATATTGACCAAAGGCCTCAAAATGCTGGTTTCCATATTTATACTACACACTGCTTCCCCGCTTAGGAGCTGTGGGGCCCACCTCTGCCGACAGCTGAGTGGTCCCCCTCGCCACCAAGCACAAGTGGTAGTGCTCCCCTGCAAAACCTGCCTGCCTGGCCATAACTATGTGTGGCATAAAGGCCACCAACAGCCTGCCCAGTGCCCTAGGAAGCGGCTTGGCAAGGGGTGGGTGCTGTATACCAGAGAATGATGTGGCATATGGTTTATATTCTCTGAGAAGTCAGAATATGAAATATTGAAAGAGGATAGAGTGACACAGAAGTTGAATGACAGAGAAGCCTGTAGGCAGAGGCCATACTGCAATAGAAGCCATGAGGTAAAGAAGGGTCACGGAGTTGACAGTGATGGAGAAGAGTATAGAAGAGAAACCAAACACAGACTGCTGCCAGTCTGCTGAGCAGTATTCTAGATTTCCATGAGGTAGGGATGGGTGGAGTTGAGACATTTTTCTTTCTTTTTTTTAACTTTCCTATGCACCTATATTGTAAAACTTTCATTAACTGAGGAAATCAAGCATGTCTCTTTTCTGCTTAACATGAAAAGTTATAACAAAGTGATGGCTAGGTTCTAAGACAGTACTGATCCTGATTTTGAATTAATAAAACCCCACAGGTTTTTCTATGTTGGCAACACAACTCCATTCCTATGGGTTTTTTCTTTTTCAATTTTTTATAGACATGGCATAAAAAATTAAGATGGCTTTTCCCCATATAGTTGCTATGGGAGGTAATATATTAATACTTATTCCAACTATGCTGTACTATACTGCTCATATTTTCTGGAATTCCTTTTGGAATCATATTCGGAATCTGCGTCCTTGTCACTCAAGAAAAAACAAACTTAGTTTTTCATATTGTACTTATGGTTCACTTTCCTTTCTTCCCGCTTCCTTTTATTTCTTGCCATAATGAGCCAATCATATGAGGGACTTTGGGTGAAAAGAAGAGACCGGACTAAACTGAGTAAAGGCAGGGAAATAGTCAATTGAAATAATAGCAACAAACTCAGGATAAGTTCATTTGTATGTTTTGACTCCAGAGTTATGATAAATAAAATGAGTTTATTTAGATGAAGGTCATCAAATTAAAATTATAGAAATCTACAGCAGAGAAGTGATACAGAAGGGAAGTGCTGGGAAGGGAAAAGCATGGTCCCTTTAAATGATATGGAAGGGAAGTGCTAGGTAGAGGAGGGCGTGGTCCCTGACTAGGGCTCCACCCAGGGCCCGGGCCCATGGACATAGGTGAGGACAGGCATTTTTGTTTTCCTGCACAAATGTTGCACTTCCCAAGACCACCCTGGCCTGCCACGCCCCCATCCTGTGCCTATAAAAACCCCGAGACCCTAGCAGGGAGACACACAGGTGGCTGGATGTCGAGAGAAGCACATCAATGGAGGCACACACAGGTGGCTGGCCGTCGAGAGGAACGCACCAACAGGCATCGGCATGCCAGCAGGCCACTGAGTGGCAGAATGACATGGAGTTTGGCTGGGGCAGTCGGATGAGAGCCCAGTCCACTGAGTAAATAAAACCTGCTCAATAAAACCTTGCACTCATTCTCCAAGTCCACGTGTGATCTGATTCTTCTGGTACACAGAGGCAAGATCCCTAGGATACAGAAAGCCCTCTGTCCCTGCAGTAAGGCAGGGGTCTAATTGAGCTGACTAACACGAGCTACCTATGGATGGCTAAACTAAAAGAGCACCCTGTAACACACGCCCACTGGGGCTTCAGCTGTAAACATTCACCCCTAGACACTGCCATGGGGTTGGAGTCCCACAGCCTGCCCATCTGTATGCTCCCCTAGAGGTTTGAGCAGCAGGGCGGTGAAGAAGTGAGCCACACCCCCATCACACACCCTGCGAGGGGGACAAGAGACCCTTTCCCATTTCAGAAGGACATTTGAGAACACTGCATCCAACGTACTCATTTTATAGAGGGCACAAATCAAGTCCAGTGAGGCTGAATGTTTGTCAAAGTCTCAGAGCAAAACTGTAAGCAAAACCAGTTTTCAGTAGCACCCTGCCCATGTGCCACCTAGCTGAGGGGCTAGTAGCCACTGAGATCCAACTTATTGCCAGCTCTTGGGGGCCAGCTGTAGGGATGACTCTTCCTGGGGGAAAGTGTCTCATATTCTAGTTGTCACAAAGGCATATATCACAGGGACGAAGTTAGTTATTTCTTTGGAACAGACTCATGTGAGGGCCACTCATAACCCGGTTCCAAAGAAATAACTTTATCTCTTGATAAGTTATATTATTAATTTTATTTATTTTGTGTTATTTTGGTTTAAAAATGGTTTTATCATTAAATAGTTATTATTAACGTATTATTACATTAAATTATTAAATCAGTGGCAACCAGTAAAATAGACTCTATTGAACTCATTGTCTTTTCGTCATTCATTTCTTCACTCATTTATTTGACACATGAGTATACATACATTGCCCCAGGTGTTGGACATCCTTTGAGATACCAAAACAAGTGGCTATCAACTTAAATACCAATGACTGAAAAACAGCAAGTCTGCAACACAAAACCATTTAGCAACATCTATAGGGGTATAGGAGGAGTTTAAGTTGGCAGGGCTTCCAGGAAAACTCTGTTTCTATCAGTTTGGGGGTTACTTTTTAGGTTAAGAGTTTAATAATGAGGAAGGGAAATATCTGAAAAACCACTAATTGCAGGGAAAAGAACTAACTAGGGAGTCAGAACCAGGACGTAGGTAATACATGCCTTTGTGACAACTAGAATATGAGACACTTTCCCCCAGGAAGAGTCATCCCTACAGCTGGCCCCAAGGGCTGGCATAAGTTGGATCTCAGTGGCTACTAGCCCCTGAGCTGGGTGGCCTATGGGCGGGGTGCAACTGAAGACTGGTTTTTCTTACAGTTTTGCTCTGAGACTTTGGCAAGCCATTCAACCTCACTGGACCTCATTTGAGTTATCCATAAAATGAGTATGTTGGATGCAGCATTCTCAAATGTCCTTCTGAAACGGGAAGGACTGCTTAACACTGCCATCTGATTGCAGCATCCTCCCCAAGTTCCAATTGAGAGAACTGATGTTTTTCTACACTTAAGCCTTCACTCTATTGCCTGAATTCTTCTATTTCCCTGGGTTTTTTGGGGGACTTTTATGACCCTCACTAGATAGTAAACTTCAGTGAGAACACCATACCTATTATCTTCCCTTTTCCTTCCCCAGGCGTCATAGGCCAGCACTTGGCACAACATTTTACACATAGTCAATAGCTCAATAAATGTAAATGTTAATTAAAAAAATTAAAACACTTTTTTTGCTTCCCATTAGGCTGATCTTTTGTCATCTGACAACAATTTCTTCACTACATTGTAAGCCTCAGAGAAGACATATATTTGCTGTTGAAATTTCTTGACCTCTAAGAAATCTATGTCTATTTAATTTAAAACGTGACTGTCTGTGATGGTAAAAGGAGAGACACATTTCTTTACCATAAGCATTGAAAAATCTATCTGTATCATCCTAAGCTTTAAAAATTTCAAACTACACCAGTATTCTGATTTTATTTTCTTTCCACTGCAAGAGTGCCTGCACAGTATCTCTGGCTCGTGTTTATCTGCAGGTGCCTGAGAATGAATGCAAGCTGATTTATCACTGTGGGCTATCGTGATGCAAACAATGGCATACTTTCTTTATTGGATTCTTTTCAATCCATTTTATAGCTGCTTTCCATCAAGTGTGAGTTCTGTGGCTTCTTTATGATAGTTGTGTTCCCAACAGGAATGTCCTTGAGTAGATGTAAATTCCTCATTTGATGAAATTGACTAACGTTTGTATAGAGACTTACCGTATACAAAACACCATTCGTATATATTACTTCATTTAAATCTGATGACAATTCAAAGCAATAGCATCATTATTCCCATTTTGCATATAAGTCTTTTTTAAATATAGTGACTTCCCCAAGATTACACAGTGACAGCAGTGTTTCAAATCCAGTATTCTCTGTCTCTTTCTCCTTCAACATAATCATCTTACCAGTTCAGATATATATATGGAAACCTCTCTTGAGGTGTCTTACTTTTTATGGAATTTGAATGGAAAAAGAGATGAAATGAAAACTGCTTGAAATCTCCCCTAAGTTAGCATTCTTTTTAATAACAGCAGTGAAGTAAGCCACTGAAATATCATCCAAAAATGAGTAGAATAAAATGCTTCTCAAAGAGCATTAGGAATTAAAATAAGCAGCATCTTGGCAGGTCTGCGCCTCTGTGTCCTGTATATTCTCTTTTGACTCAGTATCCATTTGGCCCCAAAAGCTCAAAACAATAATTAGAACAGAAAGGATGCCTGGATGAGCTAGAAGTTAAAATATCACATATCAATCTCAATGACTAAGTAACTCATTTGAGAGTAGTGATGTCAACACTACAAATGTATTACAAGGAGAACAGTCATTCTAATGCAATAAGATGGCAGTGTTAGGCAGTCTTTTAATAATACATACACGAAAACATGGAGCTACATAATGATTTTCTCTGATACAGTCATGACAGTAAGGAACTAAAAGAAATTTTTTAAAAAAACTTCCCCTAGAAGCTGCTTAGAGTATGAAAATACATGTGGAGTGTCTCAGCAATTATTTAAAATAGAACTTGTGCCATTAGTTACTGACATATAAGAGCTTTGTAAATAATGAGGAGATGGAAAGTCATTATCGTAAAACTATAAACTGTAAGGCAGTTTCACAATATTTCATCTCAAGTTACTGCTAAAGTGAAAACATAATAGCTTCACAGATTAAGCATTTTAACTGCAATTGCCTTTTTTTTACTCACTTCCTGATTTGTATAGAAAGTTCTGAAGCACCTTACTGATTATCAGCAATGAAACAAAACTGTAAAACTGAGAAAATCTATCTCAATCCTTCCAAATCAAAGATGAGTTTTCTACCAGTTCGGTGAGTGAATAGCTTAACAGGTCTATTAAAATTCACTCTATCCTCCCTTCTAATCTGTTCCTGGCACTGGCACAAAGAAAATCATGTCACACCTACTGTCACACCCAGTCTCCTAAAAAGAGCCCAGCTTCCCACTGAGGGAGCCCCGCACAGTCTGGCCTGCCCCCTCCAGCCTTCCACAGCACCTCCTCCACGTCACCTGCCATTGTCACCACTATGCCCCAGGGGCTAGTACAGTGACATGCACACAGTTGGGGCTCAATACATATTTGTTTAATGAAGGAATCATTTTCACCATTTCACAAATGTAACAAAATATTGTCTCACAGTTTTGAAGTTTCCTTATTTTCAAAGCGATTTTATGTAAGGAGAGAATGAATAAGTCATTCAATTTATCCCTTATTCTTGCTATGAATTTCCATATTATAGTCCAGAGCAACTTTGGAAGTTATATTTTAACAGCATAGTTATTTTCCAACACACACAAACACATAGACAAGCATACAACATAAAAGAGATATTAGTAGACATTTGTCGTGCTTCTCTTTAGAATGGGTGGAAAGGATCTGGTAGCAATGGACAAAAGTTAGTGGGTGGGCTCATATACGGCCCTCACATACCCTGGAGGAAGGGATTTAGGACATTTGCCTGTACTTGCAGAGGTGTCTAGGAGATCAGCTCTACCACCTGGTAATGAAGAATATTCTGAACAATGAAGCAATGGATAATCTTGAGTTATGGTTGTCTTGTGAATACAGGAACTGAAAATTACCCAACATCTAGGCTCTATCTTGGATTCTAGATGGGCTTGTACTTGGTGGGGTCGAGGTAATCATAGTATGGAACTATGCCTAGAAGTAAGACCAAATCTTAGGACATAAAGACAAAAATCTTAGGGGAAAGCATATTTTAACTTAAGGAAGTCTTGCTATGCTTTTATTACAAAGTAAGAGGCAGTCTGCTGTTAAGAAACCTTTGTGTTTACCTTGTGTAGAAGTTTCCCCAGTAACATGGTTTGGCTGTGTCCCCACTCAAATCTCAATTTGAATTGTATCTCTCAGAATTCCTACGTGTTGTGGAAGGTACCCAGGGGGAGCTAATTGAATCATGGGGGCGGCCGGTCTTTTCTATGCTATTCTTGTAATAGTGAGTAAGTGTCACGAAATCTGATGGGTTTGTCAGGGGTTTCTCCTTTTGCTTCCTCCTCATTTTTCTCTTGCCGCCACCACGTAAGATGTGCCCTTTGCCTCTCACCATGATTCTGAGGCCTCCCCAGCCATGTGGAACTGTAAGTCCAATTAAACCTCTTTTTCTTCCCAGTTTTGGGTATGTCTTTATCAGCAGCATGAAAATGGACTAATACAGTAAATTGGTACAAGTAGAGTGGGGCATTGCTGAAAAGATACCCGAAAATGTGAACTTGACATTGGAACTGGGTAACAGACAAAGGTTGGAACAGTTTGGAGGGATCAAAAGAAGACAGGAAAATGTGGGAAAATTTGGAACATCCTAAAGACATGTTGAATGGCTTTGACAAAAATACAGATAGTGATATGAACAATAAGGTCCAGGCTGAGGTGGTCTCAGAGGGAGATGAGGAACTTGTTGAAAAACGGAGCAAAGGTGACTCTTGTTATTTTTATTATTATTATTTTTTATACTTTAAGTTCTAGGGTACATGTGCACAATGTGCAGGTTTGTTATGTATGTATACATGTGCCATGTTGGTGTGCTGCACCCATTAACTCGTCATTTACATTACTTATGTCTCTTAATGCTATCCCTCCCCGCTCCCCCCACCCCACGACAGGCCCTGGTGTGTGATGTTCCCCATCCTGTGTCCAACTGTTCTCATCGTTCAAGTCCCACCTATGAGTGAGAACATGCGGTGTTTGGTTTTATGTCCTTGTGATAGTTTGCTGAGAATGATGGTTTCCAGCTTCATCCATGTCCCTACGAAGGACATGAACTCATCCTTTTTTATAGCTGCATAGTATTCCATGGTGTATATGTGCCACATTTTCTTAATTCACTCTATCACTGATGGACATTTGGGTTGGTTCCAAGTCTTTGCTATTGTGAATAGTGCCGCAATAAACATACGTGTGCATGTGTCTTTATAGCAGCATGATTTATAATTCTTTGGGTATATACCCAGCAATGGGATGGCTGTGTCAAATGGTATTTCTAGTTCTGGATCCCTGAGGAATCACCACACTGTCTTCCACAATGGTTGAACTAGTTTACAGTCCCACCAACAGTGTAAAAGTGTTCCTATTACCCCACATCCTCTCCAGCACCTGTTGTTTCCTGACTTTTTAATGATCGCCATTCTAACTGGTGAGAGATGGTATCTCATTGTGGCTTTGATTTGCATTTCTCTCATGGCCAGTAATGATGAGCATTTTTTCATTGTCTGTTGGCTGCATAAATGTCTTCTTTTGAGAAGTGTCTGTTCATATCCTTTGCCCACTTTTTGGGGGTTGTTTGTTTTCTTGTAAATTTGTTTGAGTTCTTTGTAGATTCTGGATATTAGATGGGTAGGAAGTCAAATGGTCCCTGTTTGCAGATGACATGACTGTATATTTAGAAAACCCCATCGTCGCAGCCTAAAATCTCCTTAAGCTGATAAGCAACTTCAGAAAAGTCTCAGGATACAAAATCAATGTGCAAAAATCACAAGCATTCCTGTACACAAATAACAGACAAACAGAGAGCCAAATCATGAGTGAACTCCCATTCACAATTGCTTCAAAGAGAATAAAATACCTAGGAATCCAGCTTACAAGGGATGTGAAGGACCTCTTCAAGGAGAACTACAAACCACTGCTCAACGAAATAAAAGAGGACACAAACAAATGGAGAACATTCCATGCTCATGGATAGGAAGAATCAATATCGTGAAAATGGCTATACTGCCCAAGGTAATTTATAGATTCAATGCCATCCCCATCAAGCTACCAATGACTTTCTTCACAGAATTGGAAAAAACTACTTTAAAGTTCATATGGAACCAAAAAAGAGCCCGCATTGCCAAGTCAATCCTAAGCCAAAAGAACAAAGCTGGAGGCATCACGCTACCTGACTTCAAACTACACTAGAAGGCTACAGTAACCAAAACAGCATGGTACTGGTACCAAAACAGAGATATAGAACAATGGAACAGAACAGAGCCCGCAGAAATAATGCCACACATCTACAACCATCTGATCTTTGACAAACCTGACGAAAGCAAGAAATGGGGAAAGGATTCCCTACTTAACAAATGGTGCTGGGAAAACTCGCTAGCCATATGTAGAAAGCTGAAACTGGATCCCTTCCTTACACCTTATACAAACATTAATTCAAAATGGATTAAATACTTAAATGTTAGACCTAAAACCATAAAAACCCTAGAAGAAAATCTAGGCAATACCATTGAGGACATAGGCATGGGCAAGGACTTCATGACTAAAACACCAAAAGCAATGGCAACAAAAGCCAAAACTGACAAACGGGATCTAATTAAACTAAAGAGCTTCTGCACAGCAAAAGAAACTACCATCAGAGTGAACAGGCAACCTATAGAATGGGAGAACATTTTTACAGACTCTTGTTATGTTTTAGCAAGAGACTGGCAGCATTTTGCCCCTGCCCTAGAGATTTGTGGAACTTTCAACTTGAGAGAGATGATTTAGGGTATCTGGTGGAAGAAATTTCTAAGCAGCAAAGCATTCAAAAAGTGACTTGGGTGCTGTTAAAAGCACTCTGTTTTAAAAGGGAAACAGAACATAAAAGTTAGAAAATTTGCAGCCTTATGATGTAGTAGAATAGAAAAACCCATTTTCTGGGGAGAAATTCAAGCCGGCTGCAGAAATTTGCATAAGTAGCAAGGGGCCTAATGTGAATCCCCAAGACCATGGGGAAAATGTCTCCAGGCCACTTCAGAGACCTTCACAGCAGCCCCTCCCATCACAGGACCGGAGGCCCAGGAGGAATAAGTGGTTTTCTGGGCCAGGCCTGGGGTCCCCATGCTGTGTGCAGCCTAGAGACTTGGTGCCCTGTGTCCCAGCTGCTCCAGCCACAGCTGAAAGGGGCCAACATACAGCTCTGGCTGTGGCTTCAGAGAGTGGAAGCCCTAAGCCTTGGCAGCTTCCATGTGGCGTTGAGCCTGTGGGTGCACAGAAGTCAAGAATTGAGGTTTGGGAACTTCCACCTAGATTTCAGATGTATGGAAATGCCTGGATGCCCAGGCAAAAGTTTGCTGCAGGGGCGAGGCCCTCATGGAGAACCTCTGCTAGGGCACTGCTGAAGGGAAATGTGGGGTCAGAGCCCCCACAGAGAGTCCCTACTGGGGCACTGCCTGGTGGAGCTGTGAGAAGAGGGCCACCATCCTCCAGACCCCAGAATGGTAGATCCACCGACAGCTTGCACTATGAGCCTGGAAAAGCCACAGACACTCAACGCCAGCCCGTGAAAGCAGCCAGGAGGGAGGCTCTACCATGCAAAGACACAGGGGCGGAGCTGCCCAAGACCATGGGAACCCACCTCTTGCATCAGCATGACCTGGATGTGAGACCTGGAATCAAAGGAGATCATTTTGGAGCTTTAAAATTAGACTGCCCTGCTGGATTTTGGACTTGCATGGGGCCTATAACCACTTTGTTTTGGCCAATTTCTCCCATTTGGAATAGCTGAATTTACCCAATACCTGTATCCTCATTGTATTTAGGAAGTAACTAGCTTGCTTTAGATTTTACAGGCTCATAGGTGGAAGGGACTTGCCTCGTCTCAGATGAGACTTTGGACTGTGGACTTTTGAGTTAATGCTGAAATGAGTTAAGAATTTGCAGGACTGTTGGGAAGGCATGATTAGTTTTGAAATGTGAGGACATGAGATTTGGAGGGGCCAGGGGCGGAATGATGTGCTTTGGCTTTGTCCCCACCCAAATCTCAACTTGAGGTATATCTCCCAGAATTCCCATGTATTGTGGGAGGTACCCAGGGGGAGGTAATTGAATCATGGGGGCTGGTCTTTCCCATGCTATCCTCGTGATAGCGAATAAGTCTCATGAGATCTGATGGTTTTATCAGGGGTTTCCTCTTTGCTTCCTCCTCATTTTTCTCTTGCTGCTGCCATGTAAGAAGTGTCTTTCATCTCCCACCATGATTCTGAGGCCTCCCCAGCCATGTGGAACTGTGAGTCCAGTTAAATCTCTTTTTCTTCCCAGTTTTCAGTATGTCTTTATCAGCAGCATGAAAATGGACTAATACACCCAGAAAGCTCTCTGGGGCTGGTCATGTGTTCTAACTTATAAGGGAAGAGGGTTTCAAGGTATCTGGAGTGCATTCTAAGCAGGCCCTTGCATATAAAGCACAAGGAGAGCATGATATTCAGACTTGGGGCTCAGGATGGTCAAAGCCATCTGGCTGCCCTGACCACACCACAGAAAATCAGAGTCAGAAACTTTTAGGAATTGGGGGAACTTAGACAGACAGTATTAAATCTGGGCTCAGCCTTGGTGGGTGAATCATTCTCTGTACTATCTTTACTCAAGGGGTTAAGTGGTCTATATTTAAATCCCCTCTCTCCTGTAACAGGTGCAATGACTGTTTCCTCTGTGAGACAGAACTGATGGAATTGAGATTTTAGTAAATGACTTATTTTGAGCTAGTTCTTTGTCCACTTACCTTTGTTCTTGGCATAGCAGTCATAATAGCCAGAGGACTTTTTACATGAATCTAATCAGAGACATGGGCATATTTTCTGTGTTTTTTCTTTTTTTTAAAAAAATAATAAATAGCATTGAAGTTCTGTAATGTAGTAAAACAAGGCAGTCTACCTAGATGTTACGGTAAACCTCTGATCTATGTATCAGGAGTGACTCAATCTGGTTAAAAGTTGCAGAAAAATTTAGATGGATTTCGGTATATGG
Organism: Homo sapiens; assembly: GCF_000001405.40. Classification (NCBI taxonomy): domain Eukaryota; kingdom Metazoa; phylum Chordata; class Mammalia; order Primates; family Hominidae; genus Homo; species Homo sapiens. Next base: position 39,787,145 of record NC_000012.12, read on the forward strand.
CTAGTTTTATACAAAGGTTAACACACAAGCCTTGCAGTGTAACAGACCCAGGTTTGAATTCTGGCTTCACCACTTACTACCTTCCACCAGTGGCCTCCATCAAGTTACTTAACCTACCTGAGACATGGTATTTTCATTTAAAAATGCTTAGCATGAAATGAAATTAGTATTAAAATAACAGTAATTACTGTTGTTATTATTAAAAATGCATGCATTCTGCCAGCCCCAAGGACAGAAAGGAATACTTTTTCTTCTATAAAGTTTTACACATTACAATATTCCCTGTGGATATGATGTGTTCTCTAAAGCAGAGAGAAATCCTTTATCGGGATTTCTAGGAGATTATTTTTTTCCTTCAGTTCACTTTATTTATTTATCCCAGGCATACTACTTTTCTTAATCTTTTAATCACATTTTGATATACTTTTTTGGCTTCCTCTTCAGTCCCTATTGAAACAAGTTTTCTCTTCATGCAATCATGAATAAACTTACTCATTTCTATTCAGTAATGTAAGCATTATCTTTTGTAACATTAGGATAAATTTTAGCATGCAAATGAATAAATAGCAAGGGCAAGAGACAAGATAAGGTGTCTGTTAATAAATAAATGACATGATGTTAGGTGAATGGAAACAGCTGGGAGACCTACTTTTAATTTTCTCGTTATCTAAAAATCAGAAAGGCCAAATGCATCAAGTTTACTGATAATTCACTTCTGTTTGCTAGCCATGAATCCATCATGTAAAGAGTGGTATTGATGAAAAGAGCAGTATTGTCACCTACAAAATGTACTTGGTACTAATGTAATATATGGTACTGCCAATTCTATCATAGAAATTTGGCCAAGGAATGAGAATGTAGTAATTTATGAATTCTAGGACAATTACATAATAATACAAACAATATTCTATTACTCATACTTGTTGTGGGGTATATAAACAAAAATTATTTTACCTCTAGGAAACTTATGTACTGTTGTTCACCTTTATATGTGAGGGATACATTCCAAGATCCTCATACCTAGTACCAAACCCTATAGATGCTGTGTCATTTTCCTACATTTATAAACCTATGAATATGTTTATAAGTTAGGCACAGTAAGAGATTAACAATAATAACTAATAATAAAATAAAAAACAATTATAACAGTATGCCAGTATCACTACTCTTGTGCTTTGGGGCCATTATTAAGTAACAAATAAGGGTTACTTGAACACAGTGCAATAGTGCAACAGGAAATCTGATAACTGAGAAGACTACTAAATGATTAAGGTGCAGCTAGCTGAGACAGCATGGATATACTGGACAAAGGGATGATTCACATCCCAGGTGGGACTGAGAAGATGATTTCATCACACTACTCAATGGTACACAATTTAAAACTTATAATTGTTTATTTCTGAAATTGCCCGTTTAATATTTTTGGACTATGTTTGACTGCAGGAAACTGAAACTGTGGAACGAGAAACCATGGATAAGGGAGGACTACAGTACATCAAATGGACCAATCATGGCTTTCTGCAGGTGTGAAAACTTTAGGAATCATCTAAAATTTTCCTAAAATATCCAAGCTTGCATGTTCAGGTCTGTAGTAATATAATGATGCTGATATTTTGATAGGCACAATTAACAGAATGCTGATTTGTATTAGAAAGTAGCTCAACAATCGAAGTTGCCCTGCAATCTAAATTTCCAGACTCAAACTTCAACTACTCATCTACATGTAGCCATCTTATCACCATAAAATAAATATTTTGGTATGCCTCCTTAGAGTTCTTTTCTAATACGTATTTAAAAATCTACTGTGTGTGTGTGCGCAAACAAAATCGGATTGATGCCATAGTTGTTTTGTAGTTTGTTTTAACTTATTAAAGTCTGTTATACATACAAAGAAGTTATCTATGTACACTTTAAAGAATGATAATAAGATAATCACTGATTTACTCACCAATCAGCTTATTAACTATATCATTATCAGATTTTAGAAGCTCTCTGTGAACCACTTTCTGATAGGATCCCTCCCTTGGCCCCAGAGATAATTACCATCATGAGTTCTGTGTTATTTATATCCTTGTTTTTCTGTATAGGATATTTTCTACGCATGTACTCCTAAAAATACATATCACTTGGTTGTGCCTGTTTTTGAACTTAATGGATTATTATATGATTTATTTTATTACTTGTTTAATTTCTTAATATTATGCTTTTGAAATTCATTCAGGTAGATGCCTTTAGCTACAGTTTATTTTGAGTGCATCATGATATACACTTTATGAAAATACATCAGTTTATCCCTGATGTATACATCCCCCTACTCATTTCCAGTTTTTAAAATTACAAATAATGCTGCTATGCACATATTTTTAACATATCTCCAGGTACATGTGTGCAAGGGTTTCTCTAATAAATATGGGAAAACAGAATAAATAGAATTGCTGGATTATAGAGTATGTGCACACAGTCAATTTTATAGATAATACAAACTGTGTCGTAAGAAGTTGAAACCATTAAGATTCTCACTAGCAGTAGAAGACAGAGAACTCTATACTACAACCTAGCCAACATTTCTTTTTTAAGTATCCATTAACCTAGTTGATAAAAATGGTATGCCAATATCGTTCTAAATTGCATTTTATTGATTAATTAAGAGCTTGAGCCCCCATTTCACATATTTATTGGCCATTTGGGTATCTGCTTTTATAGAGTGTCTATTCTTTCCCATTTTCCAATTGGACAGTTTGCCTATTTCTGATTGGTTCATAGGAACGTCCAGATATATTATAAATCAGGATATCTTTAATATACAACATGAGCCACAAATATAATTTTAAATTTTCTAGTAGCCACATTCAAAAAGTAAAAGGAAACAGGTGAAGTTAATTTTAGTAATATATTTTATTTAACCCAATATATCCTAAATATTTTAATTTCAATATATATTCAATATAGAAATTATTAAGATTCTGTGCATTCTTTTGTGTTCTTTTTTTTTTTTGACAGACTAAGGTTAATTTATCATTGAAGAAAGAATTTTTTATTAGTATAGCCTAAGTGTACAGTGTTTTTTTTTTCTTCTTCTTCTTTTTTTATTATACTTTAAGTTTTAGGGTACATGTGCACATTGTGCAGGTTAGTTACATATGTATACATGTGCTGTGCTGGTGCGCTGCACCCACTAACGCGTCATCTAGCATTAGGTATATCTCCCAATGCTATCCCTCCCCCCTCCCCCCACCCCACCACAGTCCCCAGAGTGTGATATTCCCTTCCTGTGTCCATGTGATCTCATTGTTCAATTCCCACCTATGAGTGAGAATATGCGGTGTTTGGTTTTTTGTTCTTGTGATAGTTTGCTGAGAATGATGGTTTCCAATTTCATCCATGTCCCTACAAAGGACATGAACTCATCCTTTTTTATGGCTGCATAGTATTCCATGGTGTATATGTGCCACATTTTCTTAATCCAGTCTATGATTGTTGGACATTTGGGTTGGTTCCAAGTCTTTGCTATTGTGAATAATGCCGCAATAAACATACGTGTGCATGTGTCTTTATAGCAGCATGATTTATAGTCATTTGGGTATATACCCAGTAATGGGATGGCTGGGTCAAATGGTATTTCTAGTTCTAGATCCCTGAGGAATCGCCACACTGACTTCCACAATGGTTGAACTAGTTTACAGTCCCACCAACAGTGTAAAAGTGTTCCTATTTCTCCACATCCTCTCCAGCACCTGTTGTTTCCTGACTTTTTAATGATTGCCATTCTAACGGGTGTGAGATGATATCTCATAGTGGTTTTGATTTGCATTTCTCTGATGGCCAGTGATGATGAGCATTTCTTCATGTGTTTTTTGGCTGCATAAATGTCTTCTTTTGAGAAGTGTCTGTTCATGTCCTTTGCCCACTTTTTGATGGGGTTGTTTGTTTTTTTCTTGTAAATTTGTTTGAGTTCATTGTAGATTCTGGATATTAGCCCTTTGTCAGATGAGTAGGTTGCAAAAATTTTCTCCCATCAAAATTCAACAACCCTTCATGCTAAAAACTCTCAATAAATTAGGTATTGATGGGACATATTTCAAAATAATAAGAGCTATCTATGACAAACCCACAGCCAATATCATACTGAATGGGCAAAAACTGGAAGCATTCCCTTTGAAAACTGGAACAAGACAGGGATGCCTTCTCTCACCACTCCTATTCAACATAGTGTTGGAAGTTCTGGCCAGGGCAATCAGGCAGGAGAAGGAAATAAAGGGTATTCAATTAGGAAAAGAGGAAGTCAAATTGTCCCTGTTTGCAGACGACATGATTGTTTATCTAGAAAACCCCATCGTCTCAGCCCAAAATCTCCTTAAGCTGATAAGCAACTTCAGCAAAGTCTCAGGATACAAAATCAATGTACAAAAATCACAAGCATTCTTATACACCAACAACAGACAAACAGAGAGCCAAATCATGAGTGAACTCCCATTCACAATTGCTTCAAAGAGAATAAAATACCTAGGAATCCAACTTACAAGGGATGTGAAGCACCTCTTCAAGGAGAACTACAAACCACTGCTCAAGGAAATAAAAGAGGACACAAACAAATGGAAGAACATTCCATGCTCATGGGTAGGAAGAATCAATATCGTGAAAATGGCCATACTGCCCAAGGTAATTTACAGATTCAATGCCATCCCCATCAAGCTACCAATGACTTTCTTCACAGAATTGGAAAAAACTACTTTAAAGTTCATATGGAACCAAAAAAGAGCCCGCATCGCCAAGTCAATCCTAAGCCAAAAGAACAAAGCTGGAGGCATCACACTACCTGACTTCAAACTATACTACAAGGCTACAGTAACCAAAACAGCATGGTACTGGTACCAAAACAGAGATATAGATCAATGGAACAGAACAGAGCCCTCAGAAATAACACTGCATATCTACAACTATCTGATCTTTGACAAACCTGAGAAAAACAAGCAATGGGGAAAGGATTCCCTATTTAATAAATGGTGCTGGGAAAACTGGCTAGCCATATGTAGAAAGCTGAAACTGGATCCCTTCCTTATACCTTATACAAAAATCAATTCAAGATGGATTAAAGATTTAAACGTTAGACCTAAAACCATAAAAACCCTAGAAGAAAACCTAGGCATTACCATTCAGGACACAGGCGTGGGCAAGGACTTCATGTCCAAAACACCAAAAGCAATGGCAACAAAAGCCAAAATTGACAAATGGGATCTAATTAAACTAAAGAGCTTCTGCACAGCAAAAGAAACTACCATCAGAGTGAACAGGCAACATTCTTTTGTTTTCATACTATGTCTTTGAAATCTGGCATGTATTTGGGATAAGAGACACTGCAAGTCCTCAAAACATGTGACTTGTGACTACCATTTTGGGCAGCACAATTCTAGATACTAAGCCTCTGCCAGGTGTGTATACAGTCACCTTCAGTATCCATCAGGGAACTAGTTCCAGGATCCCTGTGGATACCAAAACCCACACATACTCAAGTCCTGCAGTTGGCCCTACAGATACCAAAAGTCAGATATAGATACCAAAGTATATGTGGGTTTTGCATCCTGCAAGTACTGTATTTTTTTATTCCTGTTTGGTTGTAGATTTAGAACCCACTGATATGGAGGGCTGGCTGTATTTAATGAAAAAAAAAAACCCCACATAAAAGTGGACCACGCAGTTCAAACCGATATTGTTCTAGGGTCAACTGTATTGCAAATTTCTATCAATGTGGGGCTTCTCTTTCTACTTTCTCTATGGTATCTTTTTGTGAACCAAAGTTATGAACTTTAAGTAGGCATATATCTACATTTTCCTTTATGCCCTGTGTTTTCTATGACTGGTTAACAAAATCTTTCACATTCCTTGGGTCATAAAGATATAAAACTATATTGTCTATTAAAAGTCTTACAGTTTGCAAACACTACCATCATATATGTAGAAAATCTAATGGAATCAACAAAAAGAATCAGTGAATTTAGCAAGGTTGCATTTTACAAGATTGGCACATTAAAACCTACATACTATTTATATATACTACAATCATTGGACATTGAATTAAAGAAAATTCTATTTATAATAGCACTAGAAAAGGAAATGTTTAGGAAGAAATCTGACAAAAGACGTGCAAAATTGTACATTAAAAACTACAAACCATTGCTGAAAAATATTAAAGACTAAATAAATGCAGAGATGTACCTTGTTTATGGGTTTATTGGTAAAGACATCAATTCATCCCAAATTGATCTATAGAGTCAATGTAAGTCCAATAAAAATCTTAGCAATATAAGCTCACTCTAAAATTCATATGGAATTGCAAAGGATGTAAATAACCACAACAACATTATTCCCATCTTAGCCTCCTGAGTGGGGGTACTTGTATAGTACTTGGAAATGACTTCTGCATGTGCATCCCTGAGAACATTTCTAACGTGAAGCCAACCAGAATCTCTTCTGCATGGACAACCTGGCCCTTACTAGGATATATATTGCGTTAGGTAGATGGAGCTGGGACCTCTGATTTTAGGCATTCCAAACAGAAACCGAGTCTTGGCTCTGAACAATTCTCCAGATTATTCATGCACCTGCTTTTCCTCTTCATAGGAATCCCTCCCATGAAATGCATAATTTCTAGGGTCATTAATCTAAGCAGTGACATAATTTCAAAATAAATGATCCCAGAACATTATCTTGAACAGAAGCAAATGGGAACTTTAACTCTGAAGTTCACCCTCCCATTCTAATGACTTTTATCTCAGTGAGCTCATTATGGTTGGTCAGTGTTGGATTTTTGTCCACCTTGGCCAAGAAGAGGGATGTGGAGAACTGTAAAATTTTCTGCTCTGAACCTAATACCTACTTTCTTGTTCTCTGATACTGAGAAAGTAACACACTCCCTCTAAATTACTCTTTTGAGCTAGCAATTCCTAGAAGGTGATGTATGGCCTGGAATGGGCCAAATTGCAAAAAAAAAAAAAAAAAAAAAAAAAACCAAAACAAAACCTCCCTTCTGCAAAATTGCAAGAGTTGCCTGAACAGTGTCCACCAAACTTGCAGCTCTCCCTTTGTTGCTTTTGTGTTTTTCCCCTATAAAACCCCCTTATTCTTGATATTTGAATAATATACATTTTCTGTTGCATTTTGAGATTCCAAGAATTTCTGACAGACACTCTTTAGTTACTTGAAAGATATTTTCACTGGGCATAGAATTATAAATTGGTATTGTTAAATTACATTTGGCCTAGAGCTGCCTCTTTACATATTTTAAATTCTGCCTAAAGGTTTCCCCATACATAATTAACTATAACGCAATTTGATGTATAAAATAGACTGTAACCTACTCTTGTAACAAGTAGCCAAGTCTCAGCCAATCGCAGTAGCCAAACTTCAGACAACCACAGACAACTGTTCAAAGAAGGCAAAGGCAGGTTCAAAGAAGGCAAAGGCAGAGCTGTAACCAATCCAGCTGTTTTTGTACTTCACTTCCATTTTCTGTACATCACTTTCCTTTTTCTGTCCACAAATGTTATCCAACCATGTGGCAGCCTGGAGTGGCTGTGAACATATTCTGGTTCTGGGGGCTGCCTGATTTGCGAATCATTCTTTGCTCAATTTGCGAATCATTCTTTGCACAATTAAACTCTGTTAAATTTAATTTGTCTAAGGTTTTTAACTGTGTATTTTCTCTCCACGCATGAAGGATAAAATTAAATTCTCTTCTGAAGAAATGAGCTGTCAGTCTAATTGCTCTTGCCTTGAAGATGATTTCTTTTTCCACCCTCCTTAGCTGTTTTTTAAGATTTTCTCCTTCTCTTTGCTGTTCAGCAGTCTCATTCTAATCTGTTTGGTGTGGATATTGTCTTACTGCTGGGATGCTTTGTGCTTCTTAAAGCCATGGGTTCAAAAATTCGGGAATATTCTCAGTTATCATACATTTAAATATTGCCTCTTCCCCATTCTATCTTTCTAGAACTATCATTTGGAGTACGCTAAACTTATTATCCTAACGTCTCTTATATCTTGATCTCCCCCCACCTCTCTCTCTCTCTGTGTGTGTCACATCTTTTTTTTAATGTTTCTTTGAGTTTCATTCAGGAAACATTTTCATATCCGTCTTTCAGTTCACTAATTCTACTGAGTCAAATCTGCTGATAAATCTACACAGTTTTAAACTTAATTTATCATATATTTCTTTTCTAGAATTTTTATAATTATAGTTATAAATCTGCTTATTGTCTGCTCATATTTCCAAAATTCTCTTTTATTTTTTAAATATCTTAAACACAGTGATTTTATATTTGTCTAATAAATCCAATACCTCTAATCTTTGCAGGTCCAGCTGATGACTGGGTGTTTCACTGATTCCTACTCATGGTGCCTAGTTCCCTGGTATATTTTATGTCATGAGTTACTCATTTTCTTTGGACTTTTATCTATGGAATGATTTGGGCTTGGATAGACATTGTTATTTCCAGAGAAGATTTACATTGGCTGTTGCTAGACACCTGGAGGTGCTGCAGAGCCAGAGCTACTTTCGAGTAAATCTTTACTAGAAGTTTTATGGGCACGGGAAACATAAAGTCAGGCCACATAAGGGCTGACTTCTGATTTTAAATTATTGGGGTAGAGTGTCCTGCTCTATCCAAGCCATGGCTGAGGGAGGAAACTTCCTTGCTGTCCTTTTATGCATTGGGGCATTTTTTTCTTTTATAATAGTTGTATTGGGATCATTCACATGTCATCAATTCATCCTTTTAAAGCATATAACTCAGTGATTTTCAGTATATTCACAGAGTTGTGTAGCCATCATCACTACCTAATTTTAGAACATTTTCATCAGCCCCAAAAGAAACCCCACAGCCATTAGCAGTCACTCCCAAACCTCTTCTCCCCCCAGCCTCTGGCAACTACTAATCTACTCTGTGTATGGATTTGCTTATTATGGACATTTCATATTAATGGAATCATACAGTATATCACCTTTTGTAACTGGTACTAGACCTAACATGTTTCCAAGGTTATGCATGGCAATTTTCATATTTCATTCACTCCCACGATGTAGGGGGTAGCCCTTAACATCTTAACTGATCTGAGTGTGACCATGTGACTAAATTTTTACCATTGGAATGTGGGCAGAAATACGGTACAATTCTGGGTGCAGTGGCACATGCCTGTAATCCCAGCTACTTGGTAGGCTGAACCAGGAGGATCTCTTGAGCTCAGGAGTTTGAGATCACCCTGGCCAACACAGTGGGACCCATCTTAAAAAAAAAAAAAAAAAAAAACCTAAACAAACAAAAAAAGAAATGAGGTATAAGACTTCTAGGCCATTTCCTTAAAAGCAAGCTGCTTGCCCACTTTTTCCTTTTTTTCCATTTTTCCATTCCCATGAGCTGGGAGCTGGCACAAGGTCCTAGTGATAGTGAGCTGGCAGAAGCTAGAAAGTATAATACCCTAGTCACTACTGAAAAAGGAGAGGAAACCCAGGCCTTAGATAATCTTGTGCTGTACAGCCAGCAAACCTCCTAGAATATAATATGATTGAAATCAACTTTGTTTAGATGGGTCTTTTGGTTTCAGCAGTTCAGCCTATATGCCAACTAACAATAAGAATGTAGCATCATTTATTTTACCATTCTCCTGCTAGATGGTTTTGTACTATTTTTAATAATGATAATGCTGCCATGGACATTTATGCACCTTTGACTTCCTCTCTAGTTATTTCCTTATAACACATTTCTAGAAGTGAAGCTGCTTATTAAAGAATGTGGACATTAAGTCTTTTAAAACATATTGCCAAATATCCTATTAGAAAAATAATTTGTTTTATGTTCGACATCAGTGTAAAAGAGTGTTTTTTGGTTATTTTAAAAAACTTATAATTACCTAAAAAGTACTATTTGATAACTTGTGTAGGCACCCGATAATGGAAACTATTCAACAGTAAGTACTGGTTAATGAAAACTATTCATTTTGTTATTTGTAAAAATTCTGATGTTATGAAAACAACATGTGATTTCAAGCAAGCATGCAAGCCTGATTTAAAGTAAGCACGCCAACATACCTAAACCTTTCAGCTGGGAAACAATGGTAAAAACTGTATTATGTTTGCAATGTAATTATCTTTAAGTACATTGAAAAATGCTAACATTTTCAGCATACACTGAACTTATTTTGGATTTCTGACTTGCATTTCCTGAGCTATAATTATAATCCTATTTTCCTATTTCAGCACAGTATTTTTCTCATTTATATGTTGGTTCTCTAGCAGAATATGGTTTTCTATTTTCATAAATAACAGCAATATGGGAAAATATATAAGTGGTGATTTGACACAAAATGAGGAGCTAATCCAATAACCCATCTCTTGTAAAGTAGCTAAATATTTTAGTCAATTTCACATAGATTATGAGGACAACTTCGTCCCTTTTGTTGTCTCTCATTGGTAACTTTTATTCTGTGAGAATGATAAATATGAAGCAGATAATGTCATCATATTCCAAGATGCAAGTGTGCTTTCAAATAAAATGAAAAGCTAATGGATACATGTTATAAGCCAGTTATGGTAAACACACACACACACACACACACACACACACACACACACACACACACACATACACGGATGCATACTGAAAACCGGTCGTAATTCAACCTATATATTCTATCCATGTAAACATAAAAGTTATTGTTTTAATTAAAGAATACTTCTAATGAGATCTTCATTAGGGGCTGTGGGAGTCAGCCTCCAGAATATCCCCCAGTGATCTTACTTCCTAGTGTTCATGCCCTTGTGTAGCTCCCACAGAATAGGGTTGACTTGTGTAACCAATTTGATATTATGGAATGATGAAGTGTGACTTCAGAAGCTAAGATCAAAGATATGATGGTGTCTGTCAGTCTCTTTCTTGGATCATTCACTTTGGAGGAAGCTAGCTACCATGTTATGAGGACAGCCAAGCTGCCCAATGGAAAACTCCACATAAAGAGAGAAATTAAGGCCTGTCGGACAACAACCAGCATTAACCTGCCAGGCACACGAGGAAGCCACCTTGGAAGTGGATCCTTCAGCTCCCCTTAAGCCTTCAGAGGACTGCAATCTCATGAGAGATACCACCACAGAGCCTCAGCTCAGCTTCTCCTGGATTTGTGACCCAGAGAAACTGAGTGAGACATAAATGTTCATTGTTTGAAGTTGTTAAGTTTTAGAGTCACTTGTGGCATAGCAATAGATGAGTAATATAGGGGCTTTGGAATATTAAATGAAGATCAATTAACTTGAATAAGTAACTGAAAGCAAAAGGAGATACCTTAATGAACAGTAAACTAAAATCTAGATCCCCAAGTAACTATTAATTCATCAAAAATTTACAACATACTTATTACGCATAAGAGCGCTTCAACTGTTTCTAACTGTAAAGCAAGTGCTTCTGTCCTGAGCAGGCCCTCCAGCTCCTGTGTTTGGCCTCGTGGCAGGGCAAGCACAGCCTCCCTGGAACAGCCCGGGCTAGTGCTGAAAGACTCGTGAGACAGATCACATCCATTCCAGTCTTTCTTAACCTTCTGGGACATTTCTCATGACACTTTTGGAAACATAAAAATCTTTTACATTCCTTTAGTACTAAATGAAGCTCAAAATACTTTGTATAAACACAATTATATATTAATTATAATGATGTATAAACATATGTTAATGCACTATTATGTATTTTATATAATATAAAAATAATTTTATGAAATAATACAACAGCTTTATAATTATACATTAAAATTATAATTTGTAAATTGTCTCCAAAATAAATTAGAGTAACAAAACAAAGGTGTTGCTTGTTTTGAACAATCCTACCATCTTCTCCCCATTATCCCCACTTCAGATAATACAGCCACCTGAAGAATTACTGTTCTGGTTTTTTTTTTTTTTCCTTTTTTTTTTTTTTTAGACTCAGAGTCTCACTCTGTCTCCCAGGCTGCTAGAGTGCAGTGGTGCAATCTCAGCTCACTGCAACCTCCGCCTCCCAGGTTCAAGTGATTCTCCTACCTTCTACCTTGGACTCTCGAGTAGCTGGGACTACAGGCATGTGCCACTATGCTTAGCCTTTTTTTTTTTTTTTTTTTTTTTTCCTGTGCTTTTAGTAGCAATGGGGTTTCGCTGTGTTGGCCAGGCTGGTCTCAAACTCCTGGCCTCAAGTGATCTGCCTACCTCGACCTTCCAAAGTGCTGGAATTACAGGCATGAGCCACTAAGCTCAGTCTGTTCTGTTCTTTAATCTCAACCATTAGGATCCTCTACACGGCGCACTTTTACAGAAATCCACCCAGAATAACCTCTAAAATTATAGTAAAAATAAGCTTCATTTCCCTTAGAACTGGCAGAGTAGAGTAAATCAAATAAAGTAAACAAGAAGATAGCCCAAAAAAACAAAAGCAAAAACCAAATGCAAACCAGGGGTTAGCTAAAAACCTGGTCAAAAAGATTGGAAAAATCAAGACCACAAAACAGTATGTACAATTAATAGCAATTCAAATGGTAGAGAATGCAGGTCAGTGAAATGGAACAACTTGAATGCTTTTTAAAGTTAGGCCTATTATACAAGAACGTGTTTTGAGACAAAGCAGGATAACACATTCACATTACTAAAGCCTGGCAACTGAGGAGAGCTGGCTGGATCATGAGTTCACATGCCTTAGCAAGAAACTTGGTAGAACTTTCAGATGATTGGTGCAGAGAGAATCAAATTTACAACAGAATAATGTGTCACCTGTCAGAATCCTTAGAGTAAGAAGTGTTCCCCATGTGCAGTGGAGCAGCTGATATGTACAAATTACAAAATGAAGATTGATGTCTACCTTTTTTTGCAGTTCAATGAAAAGCAGATTTTTGCCAAGTAAACATATATGTAATGTTTATTGTGATAGCTGGACCCATCCCAATCTTCTAGGTACAATAAAAAATCAGGGCAACTCTAAAACTGCCATTGAGCTTCCCAAATGGGTAATATAACTTTAAATCCTTGGCATTTTTGCAGAAAGGTAATTGGTGCTGACGTGCTTTGAATGAAAACAGTAAACAGAAAAAATAATTTGTGACTAGAATCTCTTCTGAGAATAATATAAATAGGAATGCAACTTATTCTGAGTAAGAATTGGCAAGGTATTTCCAAGGGGGGATTGAATTCGCAACCTACTCATCTGACAAAGGGCTAATATCCAGAATCTACAATGAACTCAAACAAATTTACAAGAAAAAAACAAACAACCCCATCAAAAAGTGGGCGAAGGACATGAACAGACACTTCTCAAAAGAAGACATTTATGCAGCCAAAAAACACATGAAGAAATGCTCATCATCACTGGCCATCAGAGAAATGCAAATCAAAACCACTATGAGATATCATCTCACACCAGTTAGAATGGCAATCATTAAAAAGTCAGGAAACAACAGGTGCTGGAGAGGATGTGGAGAAATAGGAACACTTTTACACTGTTGGTGGGACTGTAAACTAGTTCAACCATTGTGGAAGTCAGTGTGGCGATTCCTCAGGGATCTAGAACTAGAAATACCATTTGACCCAGCCATCCCATTACTGGGTATATACCCAAAGGACTATAAATCATGCTGCTATAAAGACACATGCACACGTATGTTTATTGCGGCACTATTCACAATAGCAAAGACTTGGAACCAACCCAAATGTCCAACAATGATAGACTGGATTAAGAAAATGTGGCACATATACACCATGGAATACTATGCAGCCATAAAAAATGATGAGTTCATATCCTTTGTAGGGACATGGATGAAATTGGAAACCATCATTCTCAGTAAACTATCGCAAGAACAAAAAACCAAACACCGCATATTCTCACTCATAGGTGGGAATTGAACAATGAGATCACATGGACACAGGAGGGGGAATATCACACTCTGGGGACTGTGGTGGGGTCAGGGGAGGGGGGAGGGATAGCATTGGGAGATATACCTAATGCTAGATGACACATTAGTGGGTGCAGCACACCAGCATGGCACATGTATACATATGTAACTAACCTGCACAATGTGCACATGTACCCTAAAACTTAGAGTATAATTAAAAAAAAAATCATTTATTAAAACAAAGTTTTTATATTTTTATAATAGTGTTTCACTTGATAAATATTTTTGAATAAATGAATGAGGAAATTAAAAAAAAAAAAAAAAAAAAAGAAAGAACTGAAGTTGCTGTAGGTAGCAAAGGCATAAACAAAACATAAAGCAAACAGCCATAAACAAAAGAGAGTTTTCCCAGAGAAAATGACAATCTGCTTGAGAGGGCTGACCTCATGACATAGTCTAATTTCTCTTGGCACAGAATTAAGATTCAAATTTGGGAAATATTCCATTTAAGATTATTTTAAAAGTCAAGTAGCTGAATACAAAGATTATTACAGCAGGAAAATTCACCCAATGTACTAGTCATAGGAAAAAGAGGGTAGAATTAGAAGTCAGCAGACTTATTTTTCTTTTCCTAGCTCTGCCACTTAACTGGTTTTCTGAATTTTAGCAAATTATTTAAACTGTCTGGGATTCAGTTTCCTCATCTATAAAAGGAAAGGGCGGGCTTAGAATCCAAAATTCACTGGTTTGTGCAAAATCAGATCAACTGGAAGTGGAGACCCAGCATCTTATGTTGAAGAAGATTCTTGGGCTACTTGGAGACTAATTAGGAAAGCAGACATTACTCACTCACTACACAAACTAATTATTGAACCAGGCACCATTCTAGGTGCTGCAGCAGCAAACAACACAGCCATCCTCATTCCCACAGAGCTTAGAATCTAGTACCAGGGGATAGCCAATGAATAAGTAAGCAAAGAATTTCACATAGTGACAATTGTCATGATGAAAAAACTACAAAAGTGATATAATAGAGAAGCACTAAGTGGGGTTGGGCAGTTGATGGGCTGGTCAGGAAGGCCCCGCTGGTTTCATGGGTGTGTAATCTTTGCGACTGCATATGGCCTCATGCTTAGAAGTCTCTGTTTGATTTAGTGCTCTGCTTGTACTGTCTTGAAATTATTAATCATTTTTAACAAGGGGCCCTGTATTTTCATTTTGCATGCAGGTCCTCATATTATGTAGCCTGTCATTCAGGGATATGTGATCTGAATGACAATAAGAAGCCAGACGTATGTGAAGATGGTGGAAGGACATTCTATGAGTAAACAGCAAGTGCAACGTAACGTTGGTATGTCTGAGAAACAGAAAAAAGACTAAGATGGTTGATGCACAGAAGTAAGAGGAATACAGTGGCGGGAAATGATGCCGAGAAATAGGCAAGGGCCACTTCATACAAGGTCTTGTAGGAGACTGGAAGTATAAGCATAGTGTACTTGATTAAAAGGTGTACAAGCAGAGATACCCACCCACTGAAAGTGGGACACAAGAAAACTTGTATGTTTCTGTGTGAACTTAGATTGAGACCGTTATCTATTTATCTGTCTAGAACTATATGTATATATAGTTACATATTTATATTTATATATGTCTATGTATACACACATAGTTACATGTCCATATATATAGATATAAAGATACAGAGATAAAGATAGATATGAATATGTAACCATATATAGATGTAGATATGGATATGTAACTATATCTCCATCCTGAGAATTTATAACCACAGGCCAAAAATATTATATCAGATTGAGATTTCAATGAATAATCTAGGAACCTCCAAGTAGGGGAATTAACATCAAAATAAAATATGTCATAGGACAATAAAGCCCTCTGGGAAGGGCAACTCAGTGTGGGATCATCCAAGATAATGACATTGGAAAAGAGGCCTCACTAGAGGTATCTTCCATGGGCCCCTTGGGATACAATGAAGGCAGAAATTTCTAAATTTATTTGTATTAATTTTCAGAAAGGAGAAGTAAAGTACAGCCATTCTATGGGCTCCCACCTGAAGTACAGGGTATAAGGCAGCCATTGTAAATGTTCCCTTATTCTAGGGACCAGCCTATTGGTTGGTGATAGCCCTGTGGCATCTAAAAGAAGCAAATGCAAAAAAAAAAAAAAAAAACTTTCTAGAAGGACAAGCTCTCAACAGAGGCTGCACAGGATTGCCACAGATAAAACCGTGATGAAAATAGACTTATATGACAATTATACAAAATGCATGAGGAAACAATCTACCGTGATCAGTAGCCAGTAGATGACAGCAGTGGATAACAACAATAAACAGCAGAGCCACAGGCACATTAAACTTTAGACCATAAAACTATCACTTAGGAGCAAAAATAAGCATGAGTATAATTATTTAAAGAAGATATGTAAAAAATTAAAAAATAGCTACTGTAAAAACCTTCAGATTTAAAAAGATATAAAATGTAACTTCTTGAAAAAATACATATATACATACACACACATACACACACATATATATATAGAGTCAGAAAAAAGAATCCTTCAACAGATATGCTAACCAGCAAACTGGATATATGTGAAGAAAAGCAGTGAACTGGATGAATGATCTGAATAAATTCCTCAGAATATGGCACTAAGAAATGAAATGTGTGAAAGAGCTTATGAGACAGGGAAAGCAGAATGTGATGGCCAGCATGCATCTCACCGGAATTCCAAAAGGACAGAAGAGAGATAATATGGTAAGTAATATCTGAAAATATAATGGCTGAGAATTTTTCATAACTGATGGAAAACAAGAATCTTCATATTTAGGAAGGACAACGATCCCTTCCCAAGATAAATAAAATTACACCTCTATCAAGATACATCAGTATGAAGCTACAGAATTAAAAAAACAACAGGGCTCAAAGCATCCAAAGAAAAGATACAGTACAGGAAGAAGAAATGTCTGAATTCATTAAAAAAAATTTGACAAGAAATAATGAAAAAAACTGGTGTGCATGTGTGTAAATGTAAACACACGTGACTTGATGAAAAGGCAGTTGGTTAGAGTGGTGGGGAAAAAAACACTAAATATCTTATTTAGGAGACAAACCCACATATACAAATACAGACAGTTGAAATATTTGTGAAGAAAAAGAGGTGTAACAGGAAAATATCAACAAAAAGAAAAGTAGTAAAAATACAACAAATTTGAAGGCAAAAGTAGTTATCAAGGATAAATGTCATTATAATAAAATGTTCATTCCATAAGAGAAATAGTTCTAATCTTATAAACACCTGATAATATACTTCGAGCTATGTGAAGCAACACTGATTAATTTCAAAGAGAAACTGACAACTTCACAATCATAATGGTAAGAGTTTAACATTCATTACCAGAAACTGCTAGATTAATAATAATAACCTGTCAAAACCAATTTATTTACTGTACTCATGCTTATTAAATAGCTTTGGTATTCCCTGATTTCTTAGCTTGTAGCTTATTCTGTAACTTTTATATTAATATGGCATAAAGGAAAGGGGACACAGATTGGTTAATTTATTTATTCAATAAGAATTTGCTAAGTGACTTCTAGGCTCCCACACACTGTTCTAGTCTGCTGTGTA
Source organism: Homo sapiens (assembly GCF_000001405.40). Lineage (NCBI taxonomy): Eukaryota > Metazoa > Chordata > Mammalia > Primates > Hominidae > Homo > Homo sapiens. The sequence goes on from NC_000012.12 coordinate 39,804,677, forward strand.
GCAACACTAAACAGAACGTCTGTCCTCTCAGAGGACAGACATTCTAGAAATGTAGAGAAATGTCTAGAATGGAGCTTACATTCTAGAAAATAAATGGATTAGCATACAGATACATTTATATTTACATGTTAAATATAGATGGAGAATTATATACCCTAAAGAGAAGCAGGGTAAGTAGGGCTAGGACATCAGGGTGGGTAGTTCTACTGTTTTGACAGGGCTCTCAGGGAAGGCACTATGCTGGGCAGAGAAAGAAAACACTCTGCAGATACCTGAAGACTTTGGCACTTGCTTGGAAAGTGCCACAGTCTGAGGGAGAAGACTGCTGGGGAGAGAAGCCTGCTGGAGAGAGAAGCCTGCTGGAGGGAGAAGCCTGCTGGAGAGAGAAGCCTGCTGGGCAGGCAAGAACAGTGAGGGTCATCAGTGACGACAATGGAGGGAGCCAGGAAGACAGCAAGGGCAGGCCAGGCCAGGCCAGAGAGTTGTGTGTTGGACGTGGCCAGAATGTGTAGGACTCTGCAGGGCGTGGTTTTTATTCTAAATGATGTGAGAAGCCACGGCAGAGTGTTGAACAGAAAGTGGTGTGATCTGGCCTCATTTGAAAAGGGTCAGTGTGGCTGCTCTGCTTTGCAGGGAGAGGCAGGGGTTGGGGCTGATGCTGGGACACCAGTTAGGAGGCATCTGTAATAATCCTGGGGTGGCTGGAGCAGGTGTAAGAGGTAGAAGTGGTGTAAGGAAGTGGGAATCTGGGTACATCGTGAAGGAGCACAGACAGGATAAATGACAAATCTTTCCAGCCTCCATTATACTCTGTCTCTTAGGTTAATGCCTCTGTTGGTTTTTTTTTTTTCCCCAGAGACTTTATTCCCATAGGCCTGAAACAGTGTATTTAAAAACTGATCTATTATATTTAAAACATGCTACAGTATTTTTTAAAAGGTTTGGAGAAGTTGTAAATACTGCTGACAGCGCTCCTTAAAAACAAAAATCCATTCCGCTTAAATAATCTGCTAATTAAAATGGCAAAGGTAAGTGAAGGGAGTTGGAGGAGGGGCACTTCCTCAGTAACTTAGGTATCAATGAAACCAGATCTGAGTGGGCAAGTCAGAGTTGAGGTTTTAAATAAATAATCTAGAAAGGGAGTTGCCCGTTTTTTTCTCTACTATGTTTGCTGAAGGGACATTTTGGAAACACAGGAAGAGATCAGAAAGCTGTGGGCAGGATTTGCTTAGTTTCACAGGTAATTGAATCTAACAGCAAGAGACAATTAATGGCTGGTCTATTCATTAAACACTTTCCTTAGCAATAGCAGATTCCCTGCAATTTAGCAAACTTCTTTCTGATATTGATTGCTACCAGAAAAAGCTTACAGTGACAGCAATTGTAGCTGCAACAGAACTGATTATTTAAAATCACAAAATCAATTTGTATACAAATATATGCAAGTTTCACAAGAGCTTCCGAGAACACGATTTCACAAACTAAAAATTAAGAAAAAAATCGATGACAAGTTTATATTTCAGAGTTGACTGTCTTTATCTTGCCTGGAACCTCTAATGCTGAAAGATCAGAACAAAAATTCTAAATGCATTTTGAAGGGAATGAAGGATATGTCAGAACCAAAACCTTTGCCCAACAAATTGTAAGATATTCTTAACAGGAATATCTAACTGACCCTAGGTGCCTAATGAATCAATCACCCTTTTTCACTCACAGAAGAAAATGGCATTCTGTCCCCTGAACAAGGCACTTTTTCTCCTAAATGCTACAGGATATATATTTTCCCTGGGATCCAATTAGAAGTCACACAGGCTTCTATCTGATTGCATTTATCATTATCTGAAAATCACAAGAAGTCCACAAAAAGTCATGTTCTCAGTTGTGATAAAATCTAATCCAAGGTGCTCCATAAAGGAAGTTCCACTGTGCTTGGAATACAACTTCTTCAAGCAAACTTCCTTAAAGAGACTCAGGAAAAGATCTTAAGATATTTTAGACAGTATACAGAAAGTTAATATCTTATTATTTGAGAATTCTTCAAAATGCTTAAATTATACTGTGGGAAACATGGGTTGCTATGTTTTGTTATGGAATAATGAAATCAAGACAGTCGAAAATAAATTTGTAGGAGTTAAAATTGGAAACAACCCATGTCTTTAAGAGGGTTAATTGTTAAGAAAACTGATATATTCATACTATACAATACTACTCAGCAATAAGAAGGTGTGATCAACTGACACATACAACATGAATCTCCAGAGAATTATGCTGAGAAAAAAGCCAGTCCCCAAAGATTACAGTCTGTACGATCCTATTTATTAAACGTTCTTGAGATGACAACGTTCCAGAAATGAAAAAAACACATTAGGTTGGTGCAAAAGTAATTATAGTTTTTGCCACTGAAAGTAATTGCAACACATTAGGTTGGTGGAAAAGTAATTACAGTTTTCGCCACTGAAAGTAATTGCAAAAACCTCGATAACTTTTGCGCCAACCTAGTGGTCATGAGGAGTTAAGGACAGGGCCACGTAGGATGTGGGGAGTGGAGTGTGCTTACAGAAGACCACCACTAGGGATCCCTGTGGTAACAGAACTATATCTTGACTGTACTGGTGGACACACAAGCCTACATATGATAACACTGTATAAAATACACACACATGCATAAGTAAAACGGAAAGTCTGAACACAATCAGTGGATTGAAACAATATCAATCTCCTGGGTGAAACTATACCATAATTATGCAAGTTGTTATTCAGGGGAACTGGGTAAAGAGTACATGGGATCTCTACATTATTTCTTAAAACTGCATGTAAATATATAGTTATTTCAAAATAAAAACACTAATTGAAAAACAAGTAAAGGGTGGCTATAAGACTTGATAAATATCAGCTAGGCTACTCATTTGCTTTCAAAGGTACTGTTAAACCTGCAGGTAAGCTACAAGCAAATAAATCTGGTGATTAAAATGGATACATGATTTAGTTTTTCTATTTCTTTTTGTGTTTTGGAAATTTGTGTTATCAGGAATTTTGTCCATTTCTTCTAAGTGCACCCTTTCAATTATAATAATTATAATAATGGAGAGTTGGGTCTTCTCCCCCTAGGTGAGTCTAGCTATAAAAGTTGCCTAAGCCAACTTTTAATAATCGTACCAGGAGAATCTTGTCTGTGATGAAAAGTGTCATCAAATGCTGTTTGCTTAAAGTAGAATTAGTCTGCCCTTTGAAAATAGCTAGGAAGATATAATTTTGTATGCTATAATTCTTGGAAGTCAAGAAATCCAGTACTTTAATCATCTATTCATGTATAATATACAAAATATAAAGTGTACCAATTTTACGTGTAAGTCAATGAGTTTTGACAATGTATAAATCCATGTAACCACTACCACAGACAAGAGAGTAAACATTTCCATAACACCAAAAATTTCCTTCATGCCCAACTCCAGTCAATAACTGAGCTATTTCTGGTCAATAGAGATTGGGTTTGCTCTTCTAGAATTTTATATAAATACTTGTACAGTATATATTGTTTTGTATCTGGCTTTTTTGCCCAACACAATGTTTCTGAAATTGTACCAGGTTACTGGACATATCAGTAATTCCTTCCATCTATCTGGGTAGTATTTAATTATATGGGTGTATCATAATTTGTTTATCCACTCACCTGTTGAAGTAACATCTACGTAATTTCCAATTTTGTCCATTATGAATAAGGCTGCTATAAACGACTGTGTAGAAACATTTGTTGGACACATTTTATTTCATTTGACTAAATGTGTCATAATTGAATTACTGGGTTGTATGGAAAAGATGTGATTAACTTCAGAAGAAACCTCCAAACTGATTTCTGAAGTGTTTGTACCAATTTACATTCCCATTAACATGATGCTTCACAACCTCACCAACACTTGATATTTTGACTTTTTCATTTTAGCTATTCTAGTTGGTGTGCTGTAGCATGTCACTATAATTTTTTTGCATTTCTTTAATGATTAATAATGTTGAACATTATATCTATGTGCTTATTTGCCATCTTTTTATAGTCTTTTGTGACTTGTCTGTTCAAATCTTTTGGCGTCTTTTGAAAGGTTGCTTTATTTATTTTAAGTTGTAAGAATTCTTTATTCATAATTCCTTTGTTAGATATACTTATTGTAAATAATACTTCCGGTCTGTGGCTTGGGCTTTGTATTCTCTTAACAATGTCTTTCAAAGAGTAGACAATTTTAATTTTAATGAACTCCAATATATCAATTTTTTCTTTTGTTGTGTGTGCTTTTTGTGTCCTATCTACTTGCTTACCCTGATGTCGCAAAGATTTCCTCCTATGTTTCCTTATAAATGTTTTATGATTTTAGCTTTTACTATTAGGTCTATGATGTATATTGAGCTTTTTTGTGTTTAGGGTGTAAGAGTTGAGGTCCATTCCCTCCACCTTCACCCGCAATGTAGATAGCCAACTGTATTAGGACCATTTGTTGAAAAGACTATTCTTTCCCCATTGGATTAATTTGGTTTTTTTATTGAAAATCAATTGGCCATGCATATATGGATCTATTTCTGGACTTTATTCTGTTCCCTTGATGTTTATGTCTATTTTACCAACATCACATTGTCTGGATTACTGTAACTTTATAGTAAGTCTTGAAATCAGATAGGGCATGTCTTTCTTTTTCAGGAATGTTTTGGCCATTCCAGTTCTTTTGCATTTCTATATAAATTTCAGAACGAGCTTGTCATTTTTTATAGAACTGTTTATAGGGATTATGATTAGAATTACTTGAGTTGATCTAGAGATCAACTTAAAAGGAACTGACATCTTTTTTAAAAATTATTATTATACTTTAAGTTTTAGGGTACATGTGCACAACGTGCAGGTTTGTTACATATGTACACATGTGCCCTGTTGGTGTGCTGCACCCATTAACTCGTCATTTAGCATCAGGTATATCTCCTAATGCTATCCTTTCCCCATCCCCCCACCCCACAACAGTCTCTGGTGTGTGATGTTCCCCTTCCTGTGTCCATGTGTTCTCATTGTTCAGTTCCCACCTATGAGTGAGAACATGCGGTGTTTGGTTTTTTTGTCCTTGCGATAGTTTGCTGAGAATGATGGTTTCCAGCTTCATCCATGTCCCTACAAAGGACATGAACTCATCCTTTTTTATGGCTGCATAGTATTCCATGGTGTATATATGCCACATTTTCTTAATCCAGTCTATTATTGTTGGACATTTGGGTTGGTTTCAAGTCTTTGCTATTGTGAATAGTGCCGCAATAAACATATGTGTGAATGTGTCTTATAGCAGCATGATTTATAATCCTTTGGGTATATACCCAGTAATGGGATGGCTGGGGCAAATGGTATTTCTAGTTCTAGATCCCTGAGGAATCGCCACACTGACTTCCACAATGGTTGGACTAGTTTACAGTCCCACCAACAATGTAAAAGTGAAGAACCGACATCTTAACCATATTAAGTCTTCTTATCCACGAGTGTGATCTACTTAGTTAGATCTTCTTTAATTTCACTCGGTAATATTTTATAGTGTTCAGTGTAGTGATCCTGTTATTTCTTGCTAAATTTATCTTTAAGAATTTCATCTTTTGATGATATAATTAGCCTTTAAAATATTTCATTTGCCAATTGTTAGTAATAGAAATAAAATATATTTTTCTACAATGACCTTTTTTGAGACTTTGTTACATTCATTTATTTATTCTCATAGCATTTTATAAAAATAATGCCATCTGAAAATAGAGTATATATTCCTTTCCAAACTGTATGCCTTTTCTTGCCTTATTACACTGGCTAGGATCTCCAGGAAAATGTCATGTAGTAGTGTTAAGAGTAGACATTCTCACCTAGTTTTCAATTTTAGAGGGAAAATAATATTTTGCTATTAAGTATAATGTAAGCTGTAGGTTTTTAAGAGATGTTATGTATCAGGTCGAGGAAGTTTCCTTCCATTACCAGCCTTCTGAGAGTTTTTATCATGAATGGATTAGGAATTTAATCAATTTATTTTCTGTATGTATTAAGATGATCATATGATTTTTCTCTTTTCTTCTCTTAATATAATGAATTACATCCATTGAATACAGATGTTAAATCAACCATGAATTCCTTTATATTGCTGGATTCAATTTGAGAATTTTTCTGTCTGTATACAAGGGAGATACTGCGATGTTCATCTATAGTTTTTCTTTCTTGCAGTTTCTGGATAGATTTGGTAATGAAGATAAAACCAACCTTATAAAATGAGTTGGGAAATTTCCCCCACTCTGCCCTTTTCTGAAAGAGTTTATATAGGATTGGCATTATTTCTTCTTTAAATATCTGGTTTAATTCACCAATGCAGTTTTCTTTGTGGGGAGATTTTTAATACAAATTTGATTTTTTAAATAGATGATTTAGTTTTCCTATTTCTTTTGGAAATATGTGTCACCAGGAATTTTCTCCATTTATTAGAAGTGCTCTCTTTTAATTATAATAATAGAAAGTTGGGTCTCCTTTTCTCCCTAAACGAGTCCAGCTATGACTTAATCTGCTTTTTATTGATCTCTTCAAGAAATTACCTTTTGATTTCATTTACTTCATCTATTGCTTTTACATTTTCTATTTTATTGTTTCCTACTACCATTATATCTTTCCTTCTAATTACTTTGGGTTTTACTTGCTCTTCATTTTTTAGCTTCATAATTGTAAGCTTAGGTAATTGATTTTAAACCTTTCAAAATTTTCTAATATACTTATTTTAAAGTATAAGTTTGCTGTTAAGTATTGCTTTAGCTGTCCCCTGACGTTCTTGATATGTTATAATTTCATTTTCATTGACTTCAAAACATTTTCTAATTACCTTGTGATGTCCTTTTTTACAGCATGGGTTATTTAGAAATGTATTGTTTAATATTCAAATATTTAGTAATTTTTGTGAAAATTTTTTTTACTGATTTCTAAGAAGCTCTATTATTAGAGGAATATACATTTAAGAATTGTATGTCTTGATGAATTGGCCACTTTATTATAAGCCATCCTTCTTAATCTCTGATAATATTCCTTAATCTGGAGTCTTTGTCAAATATTAACAAAAGCACTCTAGCTTTATATGATTAGTGTTAGTACAGTATGTCTGTTTCCATCCCCATTTTTCTAGACAGCAGACAGTTGCATTTGTTTTCATGTCTAATTGGACAACTCTGTCTTTTACTGGAGTTTCTGTCTTTTATTGGAGTTTCTAAACAATTTATTTTAACATAGTTTACCAATAGAGTTGGTTTAAATCTCTAATTTGTTTCTTTTATGGTTATCTCATAAAAGAAACAACTTTGTTACTTGTCTTAGTCTGTTTAAGCTGCTATAACAGAATACCACAGACTGGATGGCTCTTACACAAAGAAATTTATTTCTCAGGGTTTTGGAGGCTGGGAAGTCCAAGATCTAGGCACAAGAAGATTTGGTGTCTGGTGAGGGTCTGCTCCCTGGTTCATAGCCATCTTTCATCTGTGCCCTCACATGGTAGAATGGAAGAGGGAATCTATCTGGGGCCCCTTTATAAAGGCACTTATCCCATTTATGATGACTCCACCCTCATGACCTAATCACCTCCCAAAGGCCCCACCTCTAAATATCCTCACATTGGGACTAATTTCTTTTTTCTTTTCTTTTCTTTTCTTTTCTTTTCTTTTCTTTTCTTTTCTTTCTTTCTCTCTCTCTTTCTTCCTTCCTTCCTTCCTTCCTGCCTTCCTTCCTTTTCTTTCTTCTCTTTCTTTCTTTCTCCTTTCTTTCTCCCCTTCTCTCTTTTTGTGAGATAGATGCTTGCTCTGTTGCTCAGGCTGGAGTGCAGTGGTGCAATCTCAGCTCACTGCAACCTCCGCCTCTGAGATTCAAGCGATTCTCCTGCCTCAGCCTCCTGAGTAGCTAGGACTACAGGCGCCCACGGCTACGCCCGGCTGATTTGTATATTTTTAGTAGAGATGAGGTTTCACCATGTTGGCCATGCTGGTCTCGAATCCTGGCCTCAAGTGATCCACCTGCCTCAGCCTCCCAAACTGCTGGGATTACGGGCGTGAGTCATTGCACCTGGCGGTTTCTAATTTCAACATATGACTTTAGGGGGTGGGGGGACAAACATTTAGTTTGTAGTATTACCTTTTTTTTTTTTTTTTTGAGATAGAGTCTCACTCTGTCACCCAGGCTGGAGTGTAATGGTGTGATCTCCCTGCAACCTCTGCCTCCTGGGTTCAAGTGATTCTCCTGCCTCAGCCTCCCAAGTAGCAGGGATTACAGGCGCCTGACATCATGCCCAGCTAATTTTTTTTTTTTTTTTTTTTTTTTTTTTAGTAGAGATGGGGTTTCACCATGTTGGCCACGCTGGTCTCAAACTCCTGGCCTCAAGTGATCCACCTACCTCGGCCTCCCAATGTGCTGGGATTACAGGCGTGACCCACTGTGCCCAGCCTATAGTATTACTTTTGCCCTCCCTTTAAAACTTCTTTTATTGGATTAATTAGATATTTTTTGCATTCCATTTTATCTATTCTGTTTGTTTCTTAGCTATCTTAAAAATACTTTTGTCTTTGATCTAGGTCAGCATTTATTTTGACATACATCAAAATTTTATTTTATTACAAATATTTTCAAATATATTCAAAAGTAGAGAGTATAGTATAATTAACCGGATGTACCCATAACAAACTTTCAACAACTGTAAACACATGGCCAATGACATTTCATCTAAATTGTCACTTAATCCACCTCTCCTGGGTTACTCTGAAGCAAATTTCAGATACCATATTTCATCTGTTACTATTTCAGTATGTATCTCTGCAAGGACTTAAAAAATATATAACAATATGATTACTGCACCTGAAAAATTAACAATAATTTCTTAAGAACATCAAACAGCCAATCACTGTTCACACTTTCCTGGTTGTCTTTAAGTGACTTTTTTCAGTTCATTTGAATCAAGATTCAAATAAGGCCCATTCCTTGCCAACTGTCTGTTTTTATTGGAGTAGTGGGGGATGAAGAAGCTTCAGGGAGACTTGAAACACGGCTGCAGCCACTACCATCTACAATCTCAATGTGAGTTCCATTTGATTTAAAATTTAAAATAGCAATTAAAAAGATGTAATTGGGAATATTAACTGAACAGAACCCCTACACAGGCATTTTAAAATTGGAGTTTCCATTTTACGCTGAAGAATGTCATTCCTGGAAACTGTCTGAAGCCTACACAGTCACATCTTGGATAACTCCACATTTCGAAAGTTTCAATCTTGGACAATTTCCAGTATGAGTGATTTCGTATATTACTTCATCTATATTGTATTGCCAAATTCTGTAAAACTATAATCATATCTTTCAAGACGAGGAAAACTGCTCTGAATATTCTCTTCACTTTTGCCCATACTCTTTTCTTTCTTTGTGATAATTAAGAATTAAATTAATTTAAAATGTGAGGTCTGGGGATAATACTTCAAAACGTTAATCAACCATTCTGATGTAGATTGTACTGCTGGAGTTTTAATGTCATTGCTTTACCTCCCCAGGAAATGAGCTACAGATGTAGACAGCAAGTGTAATAGCTTAGGAGGAATAAGCTTATGAAAGACACTTAATGAATTATGTACTTATAATTTCCTCTTTGTACTGTTTTTAAAAACTAGCCTAAACTTTTTCCAAATAGAGAGTAAAGAGAAAACATCTATTCCTTTAAGAACAACACAAGAAGGCTTTAGCTGATCTTTATTGTATCAAGTAACACACTGGCTCACTAAAATCAAAATTCTGATAATGCTAAACACTGTTATAATTGTATACAATTTAACAAAAATTAATAGATAAAAGTTCTTACAAACTGAAGAATGCTTTGGTAGAAAAAAAGGAACTCCTCTTTTATGGTAAAATACATACTTAAGAATGGAAAAGCACATTTTAAAGAGAGGAAAAACATAAATTGCTGTCAGTTACTAAATTTGGTTATCTCATACAATTACGTCTGCTATCCCTGCATATACAAACCCTGCCTATCCTTCAAGGCCTAGCTCAACACTAGTAAGAAAGAAATTTTAAATTTCACATTTGCCAATTATGCATATGTCACAATATGCATTATCACAATTATGCATATGTCACAATATGCATTATCACAATTATGCATATTTCACAATATGCATTATCAATCGCTTTATCCTCTTAGATAAGGCAGAAAGATATGATAGATTGTGGAGCTGAGATTTTTAAGTTGGTCTTTAAAAAATTAAATCAAGTTTATGAATTCTTCTTACACTTTTTTTTTTTCATTTGACTTTCTCAGTGATCTTAGATGGTAAGCAAGATCTAGTGTTATTACTTTCTTCTGTTTTAAAGATCAGCAAACTAAGGATTAGAGAAGTAAAATAAATGACCCAAGGCCATCTTCTGGTCAGTTACTGAGTCCAGACACAAATCAAAGTCGTTGGATTCCAGCAAGTATTCTCTACATTATACCAGAGCTAAGCTTCCCATTGATTTTAGACTTTCTGAAAGAAACTTCCTGAATCCCATATGCCCAAATATGAATCAAAAATAGAAAAAGAGAAAACAGAATAAAGCAGAGAATACTGTGAGCTGTACTGGATATGGTGATGGTCTGGCCTTTATTGTTAACTATTGTCATTTCTACTACAAGTTTTTCAAACAGACTGGCCTTCTCCACATGATATAAAATCATTTGGAAGAATAAATCGAACAGGTTCTTTGTCAAAACAGCTATAGGACTCGTAGGCTGGAGCATTCTTTCTTTTCACCTATTACTATCCTTTCACTAACATTCACATGCACTGAGAGATTTCTATGTGTCCAGGCATAACGTCTGGCAGAGAGAACAACATTATCCCAACTTTGCCCTTGAGAAGTTTCTAGTTTGGGGGACGGTAAGAGGCGAACGGGGATAAAAATAACCATAATGCAATAATTATTGGTTATAGAAAAAGCACTGGAAAGCAGTTCTACTAAAGGGCATGTAGGGAAAAATAGAGCATTTGAAGCAATAGCTGAAAAGTATCTTGATATATGCTAGCTACAATGACACAATTCTGACATTCCCAGTCTGGAAAAAACAAATAAATGTTGTTTTAGTTGTTAAGTTATAGCACAGTACAACATTCTATAAAAGAGATCCAATTGTCAAATAAATATAGCCAAATAAAACTGGAAAAGTAGTGTGTTAATGTTTCAGAGCCAGTGACATTATGAAGTCATAGATTTCTGAAATATTTTCTGTTCTGAGTATACATTTTGTTCAAGAAATTCAATTAGATGTTCAAGTCTTATTCAATTAGCTATTCTCTAGACTTACAGTGTCCACCAAATCCTAACGGTAACATTTAAATCGATGAGGCACATAATATGTTCTGGGCTGATAGTGAGCTGAGGTCTGAAACAGTTTCAACTAGAATTTGCCTATTCCTTTTTAAGTTTTGTGAACTTGGGGTTTGTTTCTGGGTTGGATCTACGCTAGTTATGATTCTCAAATTAGCACAGGTACTGATGTGCTACAGAATAAAACAGCACATTTCTTCTACAAACAAAAATTTCCTTTTCTCACTGATGGGGTGAAGGATGAGATGAGATGAAAGGCCGTAGGTTGGGTTGCCTAGAAAAATCAAGGATAAGTAGCCTGTTCTCACTCATAGGTGGGAATTGAACAATGAGAACACTTGGACACAGGAAGGGGAACATCACACCCCGGGGCCTGTTGTGGGGTGGGGGGAGGGGGGAGGGATAGCATTAGGAGATATACCTAATGTAAATGACGAGTTAATGGGTGCAGCACACCAACATGGCACATGTATACATATGTAACAAACCTGCACGTTGTGCACATGTACCCTAGAACTTACTTAAAGTATAATAAAAAAAAAGAAAGAAAAATCAAGGGTAAGTAATACAAGAATTATATTAGTAAGCTGGACATGGCTGTATTTTAGGGTATAAAGGAAAATTCACTTAATTTTTAAAAATAAAACACTAGGATGAAAAACAAACAAATAAGCCTGTCCTTTCATGGGTCTCCTTTGGTTATGCTGCAAGAACCTCTCACCATTTGCCTTCATCCTTAGTTCTTGGTGATAAGCTGGTGAAAAGCAATGCTTTACTGAATTCAGAAGAATTCTAAACATTTGAAAGATTTTAAGAATTTGAAAGACTAATAAAAATGCCTAGAAAAGCAGATATTTTTAGCTTTTTTACATCCTATACACTGGGTATGCTTTATCATTTCCTTTTATCTTGGGCAAATGTGTTATCCCATTGTGGGTTGGGTCATTCCCACTTTCAGGATACCAAGAACCACAAATGCCTTGAGGGAAAAAAAAAATAGGTAGGTGGTGAGTGACTGTATCCTTCTCTTTTCATAACAGCAAAAACACAGAGAACATCTCATTCAACTTTTTAAGTTGGAAGATAAGAGTGAATAGTATTGGGAAAAAGTGTACTAATTTCTTTGAACATCTCTCACAGGAGTACTCAACAAATTCATTAGAAAGTCTCTTTTGAAAGACTCAAAGTAGCTCATAACCAATTCCGGGTTGCTCATTTTAGGGTGGTCCATGTGGTGTGCTAGGGTGGGATGCAGGAGGTCATTAGACAAGGTTACACTGCTGTTACAAGTCACAGGCAAATCCACAGAATGATCAGTTCCATTACTGTTTCCATTTAGGATGGGGTGTGCTGGCTTCTAGTTGTGGGTCATCTGCTCCACAGATTTAGGCTCTTAGTAACTTACATTGTATCAACTCCTTATTTAGTGCAGAGAGATTTTCTTGCCTGAAATGAAACTTTTGCATCATAAAACACCAAACTTTTATAGAGGCCAGCTGAGAAAGGCAACTGATGGCAGCTAAGGGGGTTAGTGAAACAAAGATACAGAATGCTTCATCTATATTCACGAAAAAGTTAGCTGTACACAGTAGATCATAAAATGTAACTACTATTTCAGTTAGTAGTCATCTTAGTTTTTACATACTTTATATATATTTTAAAATATCTATAGCCAACGTATGCAGATGCCAAACACTAAATCTATGAGAAAAACTCAAAGCTATAAACCTTATCAGGACTTTGTCAGTATACCCGGGGCAATTCTGCTTACTTCAAAGACGGTTCCTTGACCAGCAAAGAGAGATCCACAAATGAGAATACTCACTACAGAGGAGGCTATGTGTTCTTGTTTCCTGAACTAGCTTCCAGGATACACATTCCTTGAACTTGTCTAGGTCTGCCCTGTTTTTCTTCATTCTATTTTGTCAGTTTCTCCTCTGCTTTGTCCTTTCAAGTAGTATCTCTTTATGGTAACACTTTCCAGCTCTTTAACTTCTACAGATGTTTCCTAATTTACCTCCTGCATTCTTACACTGCCAGAGAGCCCCCTTGGGCCACTCCTCTGACTCAAGTGACATCCCCAGGTGTGTGATCCCTTCTCACAGTTAAGCCTAACTGAAAAAGCTATTAAATACCCACAGAGTTCCTAAAATCATCTGATTCCCCCAGTCATGTACATCTAAAACTGAGGAGTTGATTTTTGAAACTTTTCTGTGAAGTCACAGGAAAAAAAAAATGAGTTGGGGGGAGGGGGAGAAGACATTAAATACTGATCGGTACCTTCTTAATTTCTATTTAAAGAAGCAAAGTAATAATAATTGAGAATTACTTGCAAAAATGTCCACTGCTACCAAGATATCAGATAGGATCTCTTATCAATCAGTGAAGAGCTTACAATAGTATCTGAGCTAGCAGGGAAGATGATGCTCTGAGTAATTACCTTCTTTGTTTAACTCTAACTTTATAAGTAGCTAATTACGTAAGTTTATAAGTTCTAATTACATAAGTAGCTTATGTGACATAGCCCAAGGTCAGCATGTATCTCTGCTTTGTAATCACCTTTGAAATTCTGTTTCAAGTGTGTCTAACTGTCCTAGCTGATGTCCCCCAAGTTTTTATAAATACCAAGGTTTGGTATACTATCTTAGGTTATACAGAAAGTTCTTAAAGTTTGTTGAACAATTAAGTAGGCAGAATAAATGTAGATGTTTCATATACCAATAACAACTACAGTTTGAAGGCACAGATGTAGAAAAGTTTCTACATATAAAATATTGTTATAAGTATAAAAATTGAAATATAAAATATTGACTTAACTCTGATCTGGCCCTTTCCTTCCCTGATTGTCCCAAGCAGAATTCCGATTGCCTGTTTCCTAAGCCAATTAATTAAAAAACAACATAGGTCTGCATAATCAAGTATTTCCCAAAAACTCAATGTTAAACGAACGAAGATGTTTTTCCACTGTCAATCATAGTTTTCAGACAACCGCTTGCACCCCACAGAAGGGAAAACAGTATAGTTATATAAGCAAACAGGTTCCTATCTCTGAGGCTTCAGAAGTTATGATGGTTGAAATTGTTTAGTAAATGGATATCCATGTATCACACTTGCAGTCTCATTTTTAAGCCTTAAATGAAATTTTCATCAAGAACAATAAGGAATATATGACATATGTTTATGAGCCTAAAAATGTCACAAAATAAATTCATGGTTTACAAATATTTTTATCGTTTGGAGAATTTTTTTTCTCATTTATGTCATAGAAAGTTAAACTAAGTCACAGTTATAGGACCTTTGACATTATTTTAAAATATATTAAGGTGGCAATACATAATCTTTAAATATTTACAGATTTACAGTCCATATCTTGTATCTGAAGTGCTCTGTCCCATAGTTTACTACAAACTTTTATTTATCAAGCCTTCCATTATTTGATGTTCCTAAAAGCCCGGGCTGATTTCTAAAACTCACTCCAAATTTACACATTCTACAATAAATTTTTCATTTACCTTTTCTCTCAAATGTCCTTGACACTAAGCAGTATACACTGCAAATACTTTTTTTTCTCTATTTGTAAAAGGAACATTCATTTCTTTAAAATAATTTTGAAGTATGCGTGTGTAAATGTTACAATCTACCTCTTAGATTATAAATCTTAGGGAGTAATGTCTGAGTCTTTTTAATATGCTTTCAATTAAATGTACTGGCTTTCTGAATACATTTAAAAGGATAAATGCTCCTTTCAATGCAGAGAAAAATAACAGACATTGCTCTAGCACAAAGTCAAAGCCAAAGGAACTATAAAGCACACTTGGGTGTTCACTGCCCAATAATACATTTTTAATAGCATGTAGCACAATGTCAAATTTCAATCCTATAAAATGACCACAGAAAAAACTCTTTATCTTTGCAGGTATAAATGCCATACCAATGTGAACAGAGTTTAAATTCTGTTATATAATCCAACCTACCAATAATTAAATATAATATTAATATTTATGGGTTTGTCCATGCAGAACAGCTCTAAATCCAATCTTTCCCCTATAACTCATTTACCAAATAAATGACAACAAAAAGAAAAAAAATGTAATTTTTGGAGGGTTCCAGGAAACATGTGCCTCTGAAATGAAAATAAAGTTGGTTAATCCTTGGAACTATTTAAGAATAAACTTCCTAGATAAAATAAGACAGCATTCATCCTAACAGAGGGCAAGTGAAGACAGAGTGAAGGGCACTATAATGAATTTTTCTTAGAAATTATGAGCACAGAGTTTTGTGTTATCACAGTTTTCAGGTTGCCATTTTGGCACTGTTTTCAAACTGTAGGAATTGTGATTGGCATTGGTTCATGAATGTCTATGCATATTCCAATGCTAAAACATGGATTGCTATTGTACAAACTACACAAGTTGTAAACCCAGATCGCATGTAGTGGAAAACTATTTTGTTTATGTTATAAAACTAGCACTGAAACCAAGAGAGTAGGAAGGACCTGGATACCAAATGATGTGTACAGAGGCAGCGGTTCTTTGATTTGAATGGTCAAATTTTATTTCATTTATGCTGTCCAGCAAAAAACCTCCTGAGATTATTTGGATATCTAATGCTGCTCTTCTTTCTGTGACCTAGCAGCATGTATAATCTTCGGCTTAAATTTTTAAATTTATATATATATATATATATATATATATATATATATATATATATATATATATATATATATAAAGCAACATGTAAAAATGCAAGCACCATTCTTCTATATCCCTTATATTACCATATTTCCAAATGCCTTGCCCTTTGTTTGTTCTTCATAAAATTCTTTACAATTCCTTCTTCCTTCTTATATCAGAATTTTATCTCCTGAACCTAAAGCCACTCACATTAGCCCCTACTTAAAAACCTTAACAGCTCTCTACTTCCTACTGCAGTGTTCCCCAAACTTCTACTTCCTACTGCACTGCTCCCCAAACTCATGACATTTGGCAATTCCTTTCATAATTTTTTACCCTTTCTTTCACTGCCCTGTACTATTATTTGTTCAATGGTTTTCTTTAGAGTTCCTTTTATAACTCAAAAAAAATTTTTCGCAGTGGCTCACGCCTGTAATCCCAGCACTTTCGGAGACCAAGGCGGGCGGATCATGAGGTCAGGAGATCGAGACCATCCTGGCTAACACGGTGAAACCCCATCTCTACTAAATACAAAAATTAGCCGGGCGTGTTGGCGGGCGCCTGTAGTCCCAGCTACTCGGGAGGCTGAGGCAGGAGAATGGCGTGAACCCGGGAGGCGGAGCTTGCAGTGAGCCGAGATTGTGCCACTACACTCCAGCCTGGGTAACAGAGCAAGACTCCGTCTCAAAAAAAAAAAATTTTTTTTTGTGCCCTTCCACAGGAGAATCCAGGGTATCTTGCTATATCAGTCAGAAGAGAATAGATTATGTCAGAGTAACAAAAGAGAGCGAATTGCAGTGGGATTTACAAAACCCAAGCTTAATGCGTTGCTCACACCACAGGTCTACCTCAGGTCAGTTATGCTTCTGTTCCACATTTTCTTCACCCTGTGACCAAATCTAATGGAACACCTTCTATTTTAGGACATGGTGAACTATACCGAAGAGGGAAAAGAGGACGTGGCAAATCCTTGTTTAAAACTCCATGCCTTAAAGCTTTGGCTCAGAAATGACAGGGATTGGTTCCACTCTAATTTCCTTGGCCAGAACAGCTCATGTGGATAAGACTGAATGGGCCAGGGAAATACAATCCTTCCCTTGGGAGTGGTAGCAGATACTTTGAACAATAATACAATCGATCACACGTGCCAAGAATAGAAGATAGTTGAATAAAAATGGAATGAAAAGAATATTATTAATTTTTTTATTATTATACTTTAAGTTTTAGGGTACATGTGCACAATGTGCAGGTTAGTTACATATGTATACATGTGACATGCTGGTGCGCTGCACACACTAACTCGTCATCTAGCATTAGGTATATCTCCCAATGCTATCCCTCCCCCCTCCCCCCACCCCACAACAGTCCCCAGAGTGTGATGTTCCCCTTCCTATGTCCATGTGTTCTCATTGTTCAATTCCCACCTATGAGTGAGAATATGCGGTGTTTGGTTTTTTCTTCTTGCGATAGTTTACTGAGAATGATGATTTCCAAGATAACGTTTCCTGCCCAAGTGTTAAAATCATGCTAGCCAACTGATTTTCTTCTTCACAGATTGAAAATATTTAACTCACTATGTGACACAATATCCTATCCATGTCCAGGTATCACATAAAGCCATTCACCTAAAATCACTGGCAATATGATTCCCACGCCTATGAAAATGTATCTATAAAAAACAAATTAAAATATCTAAATAAGGCTCTTTAACCATCTGATCTAAACTCATATTTACTGTATTGGCACCAGCCACGCATTTTCCTTTCTCTTGTTCTCATTACTTTCTCAGCCCCCTTTTTAATAAATTCCAAGCTCCCCAGACTTCATCTCTGCTGTACACCTTCTGATGCTTACTTGCCCCAATGTTTGATGAACCAAGGTTCACCACCATTATCTTACACTCACCATGCACATGGAATTCAAGCTTTGGCTTTTATCCTTATAATAAAAATCTTAGTCTTCTTTAATCTTCTTTAGTGAGAAATAACTCACAGTCTACTTTTCAAAGGAAATATGAAGAAAAATGTTAAAAATGTAAAAGGAACATGGGTTGACTAGAAATATTAAGTTTGACTGAAAATGAAAGGTAGTTAAATATATTATGAATATCGCTACTTGGATAAAACTGTTAACAAGTGTTTATTTATTATTACAATTAAATGTCAAGTAAGAAATTCGATAAATTAATATGGACGAGGGAGATAAATTACTCAGAAGTGTTTTGGTCTTTTGATTTGTAGACTTTGCAACATAAATAGTATCCGAGTCTGCAATATAGTCACTAAATCCAAGGGAGTCTAAATTTCTGAACCTGAAAAAGTAACAGCCTAGAGGCATGTGATCTCTGAAATTATTTATGGGTAGATGAAACTTCCAAACACATAACATGCAGCTACAGATACTAAAGAGAATAATCTACCATAATGACTTCTATTTAAGCAGTAACATAAAAAAGTATAATTTTAAAAGTCAAATGGATTAAAATATTCTATATCAGACACTATACTTCTCTCTATAAAATTTATGTTGGTAAAAATTAACTTTGAGCTACATTGTTATTAATTTAGGAACACAGCTGGAGGTTTTTCTATCCCTTATGTGACTAACTGATAAAAATACATCAATCCTGTACATGAGTACCTTAAGATACTGATGTGGTTTGTCAATGATAAAATAAATTTCATTTTCTAAATACAAAAGTGATATCTCTTTTCAAAAATTTTAAAGAGGTTACAAAGGAAAACTCCCTCTGTTTTTGCTATTTGATATAGTTTTGTAATACATTTGGTCTTATGCTATCACCATAGATGAACTGCTTCCCTGGCATATCAGTGAATATTTTCAGGAAATATGCTGAATATTTCTTCTAATAATCTTTAGCCAGGATGATGATGATATTATTATTATTATAGACGGAGTTCTGCTATGTTGCCCAGGCTGGCTTTAAACTCCTGGGCTCAAGTGATCCTCCTGCTTTCACCTCTCGAGTAGCTGGGACTACAGGAATGTGCCACCTCACCTGGCTTCTTCCAATAATTTTTAAGAAGTGTTTTTCACAAAGTATGGCTCCAAGCAATATTTTTGCAGTGATATACTGAAGCACATGGTTAAGTATTATTTTTAAATTGTTTTTTAGTGTTTTTATTACTACAGGTAAACATTAAAATCTTTGTGTTAATGTAAATTGCATTACTTCAATTTTTTCCTAAGTTTCCTTTCCTGGAAATAAGTATGGATGCAAAAGATGTAACTAAAATGAAGTGACTGGAACATCATATCCTCTCATTTATAACTGTGATAATTTTAAACCCTTATATATTTTTATAAGTATGGATTGAATACTTGATGTATATAAAACACCAAAGGTTTAAAAACAATGCAGAATATAGAAATTAGAATTTATAATCTAGAAGCAAATATACATTCAAACACAGATGGCTATCATATAAAAAATATAATTATCATATAAACTATACAGGTATCATTCATTATTCAGGGGTTTTGAATGGTCCTAGTTAACTGGCTTCCCCAGTGGCAATTTTTCTTCCAATGTGGTCTGATTCACATCAAAGATGAGACTTAGATACCGACTGATATTGAACATCAGCAGTTTATTCTAGCAGCGCTCTTACAAGTTGGATAATGGGAGCAGGTGGGTGGCATGAGCCAGATTCAATCAGGGGTCAGATGACCACCCATCCAAGAGGGTCTCCATCTGGAGACTATTCTCAGAGCTTGGGGGATTCTTCCCCTTTCTTATACCTGTGTTCAATCGGAGTCAGTTACCAGGTCTTTCATTCATAAAAGGAGGTTAAGCTAGTCTTGTAAGGGTAACTTTGTTTAAAGGTTTGTAAGAGTTGCATCTGTACTGAGGTGGACGTGTCTCCTGGAAATCTCCAGGCCAGGTTGCCTCACACTGCTACTGCTAAGTGGCACATAGTGTCAGCCCTGTGAGGTGTTCCAGTAGGACTTACAGCTATCATTCATCTTATAGCCAGGAAATGTCTCTCATAGTATGCTACATCCAGGGGAGTGCTAGAGGGCAGCAGGAGATAGAATAAGCATTGTTTTCTGGGGCTTATCACAGAAACTGCAAGGAAAAAGGGACATCTAATCTGAGCAAAAAAAATAAAATAGACTTCAGGCAGAGATCAAGGAGGGTAAATTCTAGACAGAAGGCACAGTGTGAGAAAAGACATAGAGACAGGAAATTATAATAGATATTAGGGTAATGACAAGGGATTTAAACTGACTAGAATCTGTGTGGGAGAGTGGTGAAATGCTGGGAAAACAGGCTGGGTGTTACATCAGAGTGCAGCTTTGAGAAAAATATCTCTGCTGAATGAATACGGTAAACAATGAATTGCCAAATAGGGAATCTATCTAGCTATTTTAGTGTTTCTAATTACAGAGCTAAAGTGCTGTATTATAGGAAACAAATACTGAATCAGCGCATTAAGAAAGTGTCCCTCATTAGCAATACTATTTTAAATAGTCAGGAGGTTTGAAGTTTCAGAATAGATTATTTAAGGTTTTGTATATATGGAGAGTCAGGAGGTAGGGAGGCGGATAAATAGACACAGATAAATACAGAAAAAAAATTCTAATGCCTGATTTGTCAATAACATACTTTCTTTAACTTAGAAATTGGAAACTATCTGAATCTAAAATGTGTGTCTTTCCACTACTCAGTTGCTGCTCCCCTATAAGAAGTGGACTTACTGGCCTTTTGACTTTGAGAAAGTCATTCATACCTTCTAAGCGACACTATTCTCATCTGTAAGTAGGGTATAGAAATCACTTACTTCACAGAGGTTCGGAATTGGTTCTGGAAAGTTACATTTTTTCTTGAAAACTGTCCATTTATCTGTTTTCAAATGCACTGGAGAACACGGTTCATAGTATTCTCTTATGAATTTAAAAATCTTTACTATCCATTATTATACATCTTTTTTATTCTAAATATTGTTTGTGCCTTCTCTCTCTTCTTGATTAGTATTGCAAGAGGTTTCCACATTTTATTAGTCTTCTTTAAGAACTTTTATTTTTTGATCCTTCCGAGTATTTCTTTGCTTTGCACTTCCCATCCTCTGCTAACTCTACAGGCTTACTCTATGTTCTACTTCTAACCTCTTGTGGATCTGTTTAGTTATTAATTTTAACATCTTGTTTTGCATTGTGATTTCTTCTAAACCTATTAATTAATTTGAAGTTGCTTTTTGGGTGTTTTGTTTATTTTAGTTTCCCAGCTAAACTAGAAGGGGTGATAAATATCTTTCTGTTGTTTTGTAGTTTTATTGCATTTTTATTAGAAAACATGTTCTGGATGATACTGATTATTTGGATTTACTTATAATTTACTGAAATATCTATACATTTATATAAGCTTACTGAATTTACTGTTTGTGCTTGAACATGGTAAATTTTCAGAAGTGTTCCATGTTTTCTTAAAAAGAATGACATTCTCTACTTTAGGTTCTGTTTGACTCTCCTATCAAGCTTGTAAATTTTCTAAATAGTCTCTGCTTGTTTTTGTTTTTTTGACTTAGTACTTATCTAATTTTTTCTTTCCTCTTATTTCTGTATTTCTAACCTTTCTGTGACTGTCTCCTGTGAACAGCATACAACTGTATTAAAAAATTCAATATGAAGATCTTTGTCTTTTACAACTGTGTTTAATTGGTTTATTTTTTATTGTAAAAACAGTTATATTTAGATGTAATTTTTCTGGGTTTTTTTTTTTGCCCCTTCTTCTCTTACTATACTTTGAGTCTCTTATTTCTCCCTCTAACAGTTCATATTTTAAGAGTTTACTCTTATACTTGTAACATCTATATTTAACAAATTGAAAAACTAATTGTAATCTCAATTTCTTTCTGAAAAAAAATAAAAAGCAGAAAAATTTTAAAAACTCATTAGAAGGCTTTTTTCTAAAAGTTCTCATACCACATCCTATGTCATTTCTCTAAAATTTCAGCTTCCCAAGTTTTTTTTTTGCAAAATTGCTGAATTATAACACATATATATGTCATATAAAATACACATATATACTGCACCAATCATAAGTATATAACTTTCAGTATAATTGAAAAATACACTATTTCCTTTATTTCTTTTAAAGTCTCTTTCAATTTTTTTTTTTTTTTTTTGCAATGCAAGGTTCTTTATGTATTCATTTGTCCATCTGTCACACCTGGTGGCTTCCTTGCCTCCAATAATTGGTGTCGTTTCTATTAGGTTGGTGCAAAAGTTAACTGTGGTTTTACCATTACTTTTAATGGCAAAAAGTAATGGTAAAACCGCAGTTAACTTTTGCACCAGCCTGATACTCTCTGACTGTCCTCCTGTATTTACCAACAGTTGCTTCCCATGGACATCTCATGTACACTGGGTTCTGATAATTCCATGTGGATTCCTAACATGCCTCTATGGATGTCTCCAGTTTAGGACCTACTTTTCATTCAATTTATTTATTTGTTTACGTTTCTCAACTCATGGTTCCCACTTCACAAAGGCAGTGTGAAATGAGAACACACACTCCCTCATAGCAAAGGCTCTTGGTTTTGCTTTTTCATGTGTACCATTATTTCCATTTGTAGTCCCAAATGAGCAGCAGAGAAGTAGGTAGCTTTCCAAGCCCAGTCTAGCCAGATTTTTTCTTGTCCCTATTTCAGAACCTGGATAGTGCTTTGTAACTACAGAGGCAAGGCCTGGAGCTTATCTCACTCAGCATTAAAAACTCTAACCTCTCACCTGTAAGGCTTATATTCGCTTCTAATATTCCCATGTGGGCTCACCACTTACACTCTTTTGTGACGCTTGGGGATTTCTTTCAAGTTCTGCTGTGCATTAAACTTGTATGTGTGTGGGATGCATGTTGGAGGTGTAGGGGGAGGTTATGGGCAGGAGGAGATTTTCCTGCAGCAGCTCAGTCTACTACATTTTCTAGAAGTCTGCTAAATAATTTTTTTAAGTTTTCATTGAAATTTAACAACATAGATATAGAAAACCATACTGATGGACCTTTGAAGTTTTGTTTCCAACTAATCTCATAGTTGATTATATGTACAAATGATTTTCATTATATTGACAATTCAGAGTTCATCAACATTATTATACTATTTCCATCATTAATGGTGTTGCCATTCCACCTGGTGTCTTTTCAGGAAACAGCTACAGTTAGAGATCAGGATATATGGCTATGGATTGCCTCAACACTCGACCTTGAAATATCTAGAGATAGTATATCTCTAGATGGGAATCCAAGGTCATGGTTGACTTTGCCCTTAGAGTTCCATTCCAGGTAATTGTATAAAATCTATCAACCAAACCACCAATCAACCAACAAAAATACTATTATATATACTGAATATTATTTTACCTACATGTGGAAAATCTATCTGAAGAATTTTTCATGGTGAACACATCCTGCCTTTTTGCTCTTTTCTAGCCAAGACTAAGGAGGTAACCAATAGCAGTGGTCCACCTAGAAGGAGCACCGTTGCTCAGCACAGGGAGGAGTAAGAAAACATTTTTTTCTTTCTTTTTTTGTAAAGAGTTTGAGACTATTGTAAGGATATGCTGTGAACATCATTTTTTTTTTAGTTATTTTTATTTTTGCTACTTAGTTATCTGTGCCTTACTTTTCTCTAATTTATGTGCAGTTACAGGATGATGGTATAAAAATACAAATAAAATGTAAGAGTGAGTTGTTGAATTAATTTTTCTGAAATAAAGGAATAAACATTTCTACTAAAAAGTTGTATGATTTGTTATTTGCAAAAAAGCCAAAACTCCTGCTTTGAGGCCTCTGACCTCTAACTCTTCTACTGAAGGTAAGAGAAACATCTAATTTTAGTGTCTCTTTACTACTTAGTAGAGTTCTAATAAGTTTATAAATTAATTATGTAAAATACAGGAAACTATGTACATTTCTTTTTTTAACAGATTTCATAACATGTTTATAATTCTAGACTAGTAGTAACTTAGTTTTTTTTTTTTCCTATTGGCAAAAACAAAACTCTAAAGGTTTAAAGCTGTGAACAAGTACATCTAGAAATATTTAATCAATTAACTCACTAACAAAATTTGGCTGATAAGAACTATAAACTGAGTATTTTTAAAAGAAACTCTTTTGAGTGTTCATTTAAAACACTAATTGTATTTCTTTTACATATTTCTTTGTAATTAGTATATTTAAAATGTGGTCTGGATTTTTACTCAACTAACATATAATTTACTTCTTTGGAGCAGTTCTCTAATGAAACAATTATTGCATTATACTTTATAGCTCCTATGAGACACAATACTTTATTACAGATTTCATTGCCTTTATCAGTACTATGAGTAGACAAGATAAGAGAATATTCTTTTATAGGAATTTAAAACACAAAATAGATTAAAGCCATATCAGATAACATTTACACATTTTATATGTCTGGATATAAATGTTAGTTCATAAATCTGGAGAATATTTATTTTATACTAATATTTCATTTATGCATGTACTACAAACCAAAAACATTAAGGTTTCTAGCCTCCCAAGCCAGCTACATGCCAATGACTACCAAATTTTATCCTTATTTTGCTTAATTTCACTGAACCCTGGAAAAGGCCTCTAAGAATAAAAAAAAAAAGTTCCATAAAAGAATGTAATGTGATAGTAATTCTTTTTTTTTTTTTTTTTTTTTTTCTTTTTTTTGAGGCAGAGTCTTGCTCTGTTGTCTAGGCTGGAGTGCAGTGGTTTGATCTCAGCTCACTGCAATCTCTATCTCCCAGGTTCAAGTGATTCTCCTTTCTCCTGCCTCAGCCTCCTGAGCAGCTGGGATTACAGGCATGTGCCACCACTCTCAGCTAATTTTTGTATTTTTGTAGAGGTGGGGTTTCACCATGTTGGCCAGGGTGGTCTCGAACTCCTGACCTCAAGTGATCTGCCTGCCTCAGCCTCCCAAAGTGCTGGGATTACAGTCGTGATGCACTGTGCCCAACCTAACGTGATAGTAATTCATTTTGACTTTACAGTTTTCTTTCATTTAAAAGCTTGGGAGTTTGGAAATACAGTGCAATTAAACAATATGCAGTGGGAGAAATTGCCTTGGCAGTATTTGTGAATAGCTGCCTAAAACTAAAGATCCAAACTCCTATACCTTATTAGAGAAATCTGGGTCTCCAAAAGTCTAGGCCTGAGTGCTTTCTACTCTGTGTGAAACACACAATTGCAATGCTTTGCATCCACTATCACCAGTATATGCTGCAAAGTAATGTAGTTATGAAGGCCAGTTTAAAAGAACTGCTATAAGTGCAAGCACTCTGAAAACTTAAACATAAGCCTCGTTTTGAAATATTATTATATATTCGTATGGTAAAATGAGTGATATACCTGCCCCAGGCTGCCTCATTTGTAGATGCTTTATTAACTGGAACACAGGAGGAGTCAATGACAGTTGATTTGTTCATCTTGTAGCAGAAACCGCAGTCTGGATCCAACATACATTCATTACAGTAACTGAAAAATGAAAAGAGTTACCGTCATGTTGGCAGAGACAACTGGTGCTCACCATATACTGGATTCCATGTGCTTCTCTGCATTTTCCACTCTCTTGTGCAGTAAGCTTGGGGCCTTGGGACTTGTTTTGGCCAAGGAAAGTGACATGCGCTGAGCCAGGTGAGAGCTGGCTGGTCTCTTCGATTTCTCCCTCTTTTGGCCACAGCAACTTTGGAAGTCACTTTGAGCTGAAGGAGGCTTGGATCTGAGAGACTGAATGTAGAAGAGTCCCCATCAATCTGGAGCAAATAAACTTTTGCTTTCCTAAACCACTGAGATTTGTTACCAAACTGTAGACTGCCTCATTGTGATCCAGCCCTGACTGGTTCCAAGTTGCATCAAAGCATTCATTTCTCTCAATTGTCTACCTCATACACCATCTATTTTAAAAAATGAAAATAGTTTTTTTTTCTAATACATATCCTGAAAAAGAAAATTCAAACAACGAAAAACATTATGTCTAAAGAAAACAGTTAAATAAAAATACTACTACTCAAATATGGCCATTGTTAACATCTTGGTGAAATCTGTGCTTTCAGCAAAGATATACTGAGTATCAATTATGGATTATTCTGAATTTAAAAGAAGTAGGTATAGAAACAAAGGCTAACCATCCCCTAATCACATCTGCTAATTGGATCACAAAGTCATAATCAGTTACTCATTGCTCATTTGACAGCAGTATTCTAACTGCAGAAAAAATTTAAAGAAGCAAAAACCTTTAGAGGGCAGGGTTTGCCAACTAAAGCCTACATCATGCTTATAGAATGAGTTTTCTCCCTGTCACACAATCATTTGCCAGAAAATTCTGGAGCACTTTACAGATGGCAAGCACATGCAAGGTATCAGAGATACTAAAGATGAATAAGCCCAAATCTCCCTGCTCCTTGGTAGATAAAAGGCAAGAATGAGAAACAGATGAACAACGACAATGTAATGGAAACTGGGTATGAGCTACCTGGAACAGGGGCCCATTCATTTTAACGATGAGAGCTGGGAACCGTTTTAAATGTGACATTGAAACCGAATCATAAAATAAATTTACCAGGCCAAGAGGTAGAGCAAAGGGCATTTCAGAGAACTGCTTATGTTGTCATTAAAGATCAGTCAGCACAGACTTATTAAATATTTACTGTGTACAAGTCGTGATACTATGGGTTGTGAAAGGAGAAATAGGTCATCTGAAAAAGACATCCAAAAGACATACAAGTTGTCTGAAAAGGATATGAAAGAATATTTCTTAATGTTCAAAATCAAAACACTTTTTTGATTCATGTAACTAAATATGAAAGCACTGGTGATAGGGTTTTTATGTTGGTCCTTTCCAAATCTCATCTTGAATTGTAATCCCCAAAGTTGGAGGTAGGGCCTGGTGGGAGGTATTGAATCATGGGGGAAAGATCCCTCATGAATGGTTTAGTGCCATCCCCTTGGTGATGAGTGAATTCTCACTCAGTTCACATGAGATCTGGTTGTTAAAAAGAGCCTGGAACCTCCCTCTTCTCTCTCTTGCTCCCACTTTCACTATGTGAGGTGGCTGTTCCCCCTTAGCCTTCTACCATAAGCTTCCTGATGCCCTCACCAGAAGCAGATGTCAGCACCATGCTTCCTGTGCAGCCTGGAGAACGATGAGCCAATTAATCCTCTTTTCTTTATAAATTGCCCAGTCTCAGGTATTCCTTTATAACAACAAAAACAGACTAACACAACTGGCATGGTTTAAAAATTAGATTTGTTATCATTTCAGCCTTCTCCCTCCTGTAAACTCTTCCTGAGTCACCCCTATTTTTGAATGACACTTCAGCCCTAGACAAAAAGCAAAAGAGAGGCCATTCAAATGTACTGAGAGGTGATTCAGCAATGTAAATATAAAATTTTCCACACTGGTGATAAGCACACTAAACTAGACAACTGAAGGCTTTAGAAGTAAGTACACTGAGTGTCTGGCTTTGAGAACCAGACTAGGCTAATTTGGAAAGGAGATAATTTCTACTAGTATTTTGTTTTGTATTCTGCCCATATGAAGTTAAATTTAACAATACTAATTGTTCCAATGGCCTTAAATGATACTCATTTGGGAAAGGTCAACTCACTCATTTGCAGAGAAATTATTCTCAATTTTATTTCTCCGAAAATATGTAGTCCCTAGAAAAGTTCAAAAAGCATAATGATAAAGGCTAATAATTACTGAGAACTTATTGTGTGTGCATTTCAGGCATATGAGATGTCATCCATAACAAATAACTTCCTCCACCACTCATCCAAGCGTGACCCCAACTTCCCACTTTTCCTGCTTGCTTATTAAATGATCTTCCTGTGACCTACTATGTGCCACACACTATGCTAGGTGCTGGGACATGTGAGTGAATAAAACAGTCACTGCCCTCGTGAAGCTGATTTGGGTATTAGACCTCCTGATGATCACCAGTTAACTGACCCCTCTACTTGCTATTATCAGTTTTCTCCTTTCTTTAGCTTACTGACCACTTCCCATCATTTCAATATCCTGAATTTCCCTTCTCCTCTATCATTCCATTATACCCATCTGGTAAAAATCCTAGCCCTATATGAATGCAAACATTTGCCTTATCTGTGACTTCAGCCACACAGCCAAATGTAGCTGAAGGAGTCACACTATAGAGCAGATGAGTAGCTCTTCTATAATTCATGATCACCAGCCTCAAACGGATTCTCAAAAATCCTGATCTAGATGGCTTTAGTCAATATACACATCTTAAAGTTTCTTAGCCCCCTGATTTCTAAGTCTTTACTTCTGCTTACATTTATCCACATCCTGGAAATTATTATCATCTATGACCTGGCATCAGCAAACTACAACTGTTGAGAAAAATCTGGCGTACCACTTACTCTGTAAAAAAGGTTTACAGAAACACAGCCATGTCCATTTCTTTACTTATTGTTTATGACTGCCTTCATGCTTTAAGGACAGAGCTGAGAAGTTGTAACAAAAATGATATGGCCTGCAAAGCTGAAAATATTTCCTATCTGGCCCTTTTAAAGTTTGCTGATCCCTAATCTAGAACACCTATATAGATCCCCTGTGGAGATATTTCGCCCTTTTTTTAAATTCCCTAACTTCCTTACTCCAAGAACAACTGCTCTGCTACCTCAAAGAGACCTTCAACATTCATTCCCCACTGATCTCTCACTCACTCCATGGCTCTGCTTCCCTCTCTATGGAACCTTCATGTGAATCCTTCTAACCACTCTCACCAGATCCTCAATGTCTTCATATTTAGGTTTCTCTATTAAAGCCACCCTGCAGAACTTCATGTTTGGCTCTTTCTGAACACTTTTCAACCTCTAGACTATTCTGTACTGGCAGAGAAATAACACAACCAGGCATATTGATACAAATACACATTCAAAGTTTTCAACCTTGGCTGGATACTCACTGTTGCCAGGAAACTTTTCCTGTCCCCAATAATAGATAGATTTCCCAAACACCCACAATTCTCTTCAAATCTCAATCCTTATTCCTCCACAAATTTCTTAGAAGATGGCCTTGTCTTTGTTGGGGCTCAGAACATGCTGCTCCATAATATGGCACCTTGGAGCTCACACCCTAATCTTTTCCACACTTTTGCCTCTGAAGCATGGTCATAAAAAAAAAAAAAAAAAAAAAATCTCTGACCTACATCCTCCGAAAGTAGGTCGTAAGACCCTCAGTCTATAGGGTTCCTTCTCTATATCCAGAGGCCAAGAAGAATCTGAACAAACAGGCCTCACTGAGTTCTTCCCAGGTTATTACTATTAGATCGTACCCTTTTGTTCTCCACTCTTATTTCCAACAACTGTTCATAAAAATATATAGTTTTCCCTGGGTGCAATCTTCATGCCTGAAGGCTGTGTCACATAAAACTTTGGTTAAATACATTTGTTATGCTTTTCTCTTGTTAATCTCTCTTTTGTTACAGTAATGCCCATTATGACTCTTGAGATAGGTCAAAAAAAGATATTATTTTTTCTCCCTTACATCTTCTCAGCAAAAAACTGAAGGGACTAGGCATGAATTTTCTCACATTTAAACTCAGAAACAAAGATTTCTACATCCATATCTGTCCTCACCTCTTTTCCTCCAGGCTCTGAAAACAAGTGTTCCAAGTCATGGACCAAACTTTTAATTTCATTTCTCTGGCCATAACCAGGACCAACACCAAGTCTCACTAGTTATTTTCTTCCCTTTATCCTTTCAAATCTCTCCCAAAACATACTCCATAGTGTATGTGCAGGCGTAAAGCCTTTCTTTTATTAAAAAAGCATGAAAAACTATTCCTTCTGCTACTCCATACTGCCCCTCCATACCATTTCGTTCAGGGAAAGGAGGTCAAGTATCAAAAAGTGTTCAATTTCCTTTCCATTCCAAGGAGTGGGGCTCGGTGTGGGAACTGTATTTGTGCTAATCTGGACTAAGCCCTTATCTGCCTCTGTCTTCTGGAGGAAAGACAAGATTTCCTACCACTCTTTCATCCTTGACCTGGAATTGTTTTTTCATCATATAGACTATTTTATGGCAAAATTCTTCCAAATATTACAAGATTCCCAACTTCAACTTGACATTTAGAAGGTGGCACAAAACTTTAAATATCCTGGGGAATCTGCTAATTGACCTTTTACAGAGAGCATGTATTATAACGACAGCTTTAACAATGGCATTTTTAAAAAGGAACAACTTCTAGGAATGGCTATTACATTTTTCACTCAAGATTTGCTCTTTAAGCCTTTCTTGAACGTGGCCTGATGAATTTCGGTAAGGTTTTCTAAATATAAAAACTGAGAATTTAAATACATTGGCACAAAGTCAATGCTCATAAGAATACTCTAAGCATAGACTAAAATCTTTTCTTTTGGTCTATTTTGGTGAAAAGCAGATATTAGGCCTATTTGTCCCCTTCCACAGTGTGACCTGGACTAAGGTCTAAATTCTAGACTTCAAAGTTTTCTATCTCAAGAGCACACATTGTCTAACAATCCACCCAGTTCTAAGATTGTACATGAAAGAAAAAGACAGAAATACCTATGATCTAACCCTAAATTCACACAAACCTTAACAGTGTAAAAACCTATTAGAATGCTGCAACTTCTCACAAACATTTACTCTTACATACTAATTTCAAGGGCAGAAATTATAGGTATGCTCTACATTAAGAAACTTTACATTTATAAGAGAAATGAATATGAAGATATTTACATAAGGACTATGCTTTATAAAAGGAATTGCGGAATGAATTAAATAAAATGGAGTTCTCCTTATTGATACACAGTTTAAATTTCAGGCTAATCCACATTTAGTAAAGCTGATGGAGATGGCCCTCATTGTAACATACAATGCTCTTTACTGACTGGTAAGCAAAATAGATTCTGAGCACCCAAGGGATAAGGCCATGCTTACCAACTCTGTATCTGTAGAACAGCATGCAGCCCCCTGCAGGGTGGATCACCAATATATATTTATTGAATTAACCAATGCACAACAGCTCTAGAAATCAAGGCATTCTTGTAGGTTCATATGCTAGTTTGTACTTGGTTTATGGAAAATAATTTTAGGGGGTAGATGAATTGACGTAAATATATTAGTCATTTTCAGAATGAAATAAAAAGAAGGCAAAACCAATTGTCAAAGGGTATTTTAAGCTGAGCCTGGTTTTTAAATTGCCACGTGGTGAAAGCCACAAATATTTGATTAACACCCAAAATGGAATTGGTTAGTAATTTTGATAACTCACTTTCAGAAAGCAACAACAGCAGCAAGGGCCAGTTTCGTTGAGGCCCACACAGAAAAGCCAGAGAAAGAAAGAGCTCTCTTTGAAATCACAGCCTGCAAAATTTCATAGTAAAAGGACATTACAATATTTAGAGAGTTTGTAGTAAATAAGTGTGCCTGGAATTCAGACTATTTTTCTCAATTGTAGACACCTTTCCCTTGGGGAAATTAGACAATAGCCAATGATGCTCCTCTACTGTGGGATGTGAGTGCTGGGGGAACTGAATGCAGATATATTAGAAACTCAAATAGAGGAAATTAGAGTCCAGGCAAGTACAGTTAGAACCAAATGGTTCTTTTCTTACTAGCTGCAGAGAAGAAATATTTAACTTTTCAATCTCTAGCCTTTCTTTTCAGAAAGGGAGAAAATCGGCATAAGACAGGGATGCCCTCTCTCACCACTCCTATTCAACATAGTGTTGGAAGTTCTGGCCAGGGCAATTAGGCAGGAGAAGGAAATAAAGGGTATTCAATTAGGAAAAGAGGAAGTCAAATTGTCCCTGTTTGCAGACGATATGATTGTATATCTAGAAAACCCCATTGTCTCAGCCCAAAATCTCCTTAAGCTGATAAGCAACTTCAGCAAAGTCTCAGGATACAAAATCAATGTACAAAAATCACAAGCATTCTTATACACCAACAACAGACAAACAGAGAGCCAAATCATGAGTGAACTCCCATTCACAATTGCTTCAAAGAGAATAAAATACCTAGGAATCCAACTTACAAGGGATGTGAAGCACCTCTTCAAGGAGAACTACAAACCACTGCTCAAGGAAATAAAAGAGGATACAAACAAATGGAAGAACATTCCATGCTCATGGGTAGGAAGAATCAATATCGTGAAAATGGCCATACTGCCCAAGGTAATTTACAGATTCAATGCCATCCCCATCAAGCTACCAATGACTTTCTTCACAGAATTGGAAAAAACTACTTTAAAGTTCATATGGAACCAAAAAAGAGCCCGCATCGCCAAGTCAATCCTAAGCCAAAAGAACAAAGCTGGAGGCATCACACTACCTGACTTCAAACTATACTACAAGGCTACAGTAACCAAAACAGCATGGTACTGGTACCAAAACAGAGATATAGATCAATGGAACAGAACAGAGCCCTCAGAAATAATGCCACATACCTACAACTATCTGATCTTTGAGAAAGCTGAGAAAAACAAGCAATGGGGAAAGGATTCCCTATTTAATAAATGGTGCTGGGAAAACTGGCTAGCCATATGTAGGAAGCTGAAACTGGATCCCTTCCTTACACCTTATACAAAAATCAATTCAAGATGGATTAAAGACTTAAACGTTAGACCTAAAACCATAAAAACCCTAGAAGAAAACCTAGGCATTACCATTCAGGACATAGGCATGGGCAAGGACTTCATGTCCAAAACACCAAAAGCAATGGCAACAAAAGACAAAATTGACAAATGGGATCTAATTAAACTAAAGAGCTTCTGCACAGCAAAAGAAACTACCATCAGAGTGAACAGGCAACCTACAAAATGGGAGAAAATTTTCACAACCTACTCATCTGACAAAGGGCTAATATCCAGAATCTACAATGAACTCCAACAAATTTACAAGAAAAAAACAAACAACCCCATCAAAAAGTGGGCGAAGGACATGAACAGACACTTCTCAAAAGAAGACATTTATACAACCAAAAAACACATG
The DNA here is from genome assembly GCF_000001405.40 of Homo sapiens. Lineage (NCBI taxonomy): Eukaryota > Metazoa > Chordata > Mammalia > Primates > Hominidae > Homo > Homo sapiens. The sequence goes on from NC_000012.12 coordinate 39,837,735, forward strand.
AAAAAATGCTCATCATCACTGGCCATCAGAGAAATGCAAATCAAAACCACTCTGAGATACCATCTCACACCAGTTAGAATGGCAATCATTAAAAAGTCAGGAAACAACAGGTGCTGGAGAGGATGTGGAGAAATAGAAACACTTTTACACTGTTGGTGGGACTGTAAACTAGTTCAACCATTGTGGAAGTCAGTGTGGCGATTCCTCAGGGATCTAGAACTAGAAATACCATTTGACCCAGCCATCCCATTACTGGGTATATACCCAAATGACTATAAATCATGCTGCTATAAAGACACATGCACACATATATTTATTGTGGCATTATTCACAATAGCAAAGACTTGGAACCAACCCAAATGTCCAACAATCATAGACTGGATTAAGAAAATGTGGCACATATACACCATGGAATACTACGCAGCCATAAAAAAGGATGAGTTCATGTCCTTTGTAGGGACATGGATGAAATTGGAAATCATCATTCTCAGTAAACTGTCGCAAGATCAAAAAACCAAACACCGCATATTCTCACTCGTAGGTGGGAACTGAACAATGAGATCACATGGACACAGGAAGGGGAATATCACACTCTGGGGACTGTGGTGGGGTGGGGGGAGGGGGGAGGGATAGCATTGGGAGATATACCTAATGCTAGATGACGAGTTAGTGGGTGCAGCGCACCAGCATGGCACATGTATACATATGTAACTAACCTGCACAATGTGCACATGTACCCTAAAACTTAAAGTATAATAAAAAAAAATAAATTAAAAAAAAAAAAAAGAAAGGGAGAAAATCTCTGACTTTTCAGAAAGGGGAAAAGTAAGTATTCATATATTTAGAACAAAACTGGCTCTAAAACCTAAAAATGCTTCCAATTAAAGTAAAAAAGAGCAGGACAAAAGGCTGCTTAGTGTCTAAGGAAGAGAAAGGATGGCCTATTTTCATTCAATCAATCGTTTATATGTTTCACGTGGCACCCAGGGTCTTGGCCAAATGTGCTCTCAGCTCAGAAAATCTTTTAAAAATTGATTTGAGTTAATTTAGAACATTTTTAGTTTCTACTCTGTGAAGCTGGGTGTGAACTCAGCCCTCTGCAAAACGGTCCATTTGTTTTTAAGTATGTCTCATTAAACTCAATGAGATGGAGCACTAAGAACAGTGTTTGATCTTAAAATGCCTGTCTCTAGAATGCCCTAAATTTCAGAAAATCAATGGTGGCAAACACAGATGTAGGAATGATCCATGGCCACAGGTCCAATTTCATTTTCTGCAGGTAATTGTGCTCACTCACTCCTTCTTTATGCATGAATTGACACCTATTTTGTGCAATAATGTCACTCTCTTTCCCCTAACAGCTATTCCCAAACTTCCATACTCTACTATCCCCTTCCTCACTGCTCTCACCAGCTTCAGCAGGTGACTTGGAATCTGGTTTACCAGAGAACACCGCCACTACCAGTCGGGACAGCGACTCCATGCCTTGCTTGGAGCCTCGTGAAGGACAGATTCCTATATCAGTACTGAAAACAACTCTGGAACACCTGCCTTCTTTCCCTGCCAGAGCATAGATGTCGGTTGATTTCCTCTCCCTGTTTAACCATGTAAGTAGGAAACTCATGAGAATAAAAAAAAATCTTAGACACGTGAGTAAATAGTTGGAAACAAGTTTAAAAGGCTAGGGGCCTACTGGTACTAATTTCATGAAGCAAATTATCCTCTCCACTCTATTAAAGCTGCTCTCCCAGAGATTGCTGGTGGTTGTCTCATGGGTAACTCGGAGCACTTTTCCAACATACTATTATCATTTGGTGATAAGATTTTCTAAAAATTTTCCCTCTTTCCTACAATGTTCTCATCCCTTGTGCTGCTTGACACTATTCCCTTTGTTTCTCCCACCTCTCAGATAGTGGCATCTTCATCTTTTCTTTCTCCTTTGCTTCTGTTCTGGGCCATCTACTTTCATTGCTTTGCTGGGAAATATCAACTTTACATGACCATTGCTATAACCAATACACTGAGCCCCCATGACCTCTTTCTTTCCTTTGTTTCTCTTCTCTAAGTGCCAGAACTACACTTCCAATTGCCCAGTTATCTGGATGTTTTCCAAGTGTCTCAAACTCAACAACCTAAAGCTCAATCTTTGGCTTTCTTGCCAAACCTATTGTTCCTTTTGTGTCTCCCAATCTAAAAACCTGAGCATGATTGCAGAACATTCATATTTAAATAGCTACCAGTTCTATCAATTCTATGTCTCAAGCATGTATAGTTCCTGTACTCTCCATTCTTTTTTTTTGTTTTGTTTTGTTTTTGAGACAGAGTCTCACTCTGTCACCCAGGCTGGAGTGCAATGGTGTGATCTTGGCTCACTGCAACCTCCGCCTCCTGGGTTTAAGCGATTTTCCTGCCTCAGCTTCCTGAGTAGCTGGGATTACAGGCACGTGCAACCATGCCTGGCTAATTTTTGTATTATTAGTAGAGTTGGGGTTTCACCATGTTGGCCAGCCACCACGCCCAGCCTTGTACTCTCCATTCTTATCCCAGCCATCTCTCAGCTGGGCTCTTCCAATAGTCTTCTAAAGGGGCCTGCTTCTAGACTCTGTCCACTCCACTCTCTACACTGCCTCAAATCTAACCTGATCAGATTTCTCTGCTTTTTAAATCCTAAAGAGCTTCCCATTGCCTATAGGATGAAAATCATACTCCTTTTATGGCATCATTTAGCCCCTGCCCATCTTGCCTGTCTCTACTTGCCATTTCTCCATAGGTGCCGTGGGTGCTAGCCAGTCCAAAGAGACTGCAGGATTTAGAATATGACATGCTCTCATGCTTTTCCTCATATTGTTTTCTCTGGATGTTACTTTCCACCTTATCTTTCCTATACTTCCTTTGCTTCAAGACTCATGTTCCTCTATGCAACTTCCTGACCCCAGCAGAATCAGAGGCATCACTATACTGTCAGAGTATCACAAAACGCTCATATTATTATCATGCATTCCATGATTTCTTAACAGCTTCATGCTGTGTTTGCTTTCCCTTACTGCATTGTGACCTTCTCAAGACCCTGTACAGCTTTTATTCCTAGAGATTTCCATGTTGCCTGATACATAAGTGCTCAATAAATACCTGTTGAGTAAGTAATGAGATGAATGAATGTCACTTATATTGATAGAAGATTTGGTAGTTCCCTTTCTCTGTAGTTCCATCAGACACCTCGTTCTCCATTTCAGTCCATGAAGATAACAAGATTGAAGCTTGAATCACACCATGAATTGTTCCTTACAATTCACGGCTCTCAGACCAAATCCATACATGACCATCTGGAACTCTGTAAAAGAGTCATATTTCTCACCTCTTCCCCTTACACGTTGAGGCTAAGATTCAACTGACTCCTGAGTTAGATGCAAAAAATTTTATAGTAGTGAGGTCTACTGTTTAAAAGCAACCAGGCTCCTGCCCAGATTGAGCATTTGGCTCTAGCACTGTTAAAGGCAGCAATTTAGCCTAGTAGCCAGAATGGTTTTTCTTTGCTTTTGCGATTTAACATATATTGGTATTTTAGGCCGGAATTTCTAGCAACTGATTGTCTAATCCTTTTAATGAATTATTGGGTTGGTTCTTGCATTTCATCTGAACAAAATGCACCAATGAACTCTCTAATGGAGAAGGAAGAAAAAGAGAGCTGTATTTGCCAAATCTGTCAACTCCAGTGGGGGTTAAGTGTTTTTCTGTTACACTGAATGAATGTTTGATCAACATAGTTAAAAACCTCAATTGTAATTTTGCATGTGTAAGATAACATGTATATAAATGTATATCTATATACATATACATATGTGTATATAGGTAAATAAATGTGTGCATAATATATATACATACATGTATAAATAACTTTTTCAGTCTTGATACTTTTCAGAGTAAAATCAGATTTGCATATAATTTGTATATAATCAACACATACAAATATAATCTAATTAGTGTGCAACATGCTTTTTTCAGAGAAAAAAACAGTAACTAATCTTCTCTGGTGACAATATACATTATTCATTATTGAAGAGACAGAATAGAAAAATTAGAAGGAATACTTAAGAGACTGAAATTCTTAGGTTTGCAAACAGACCAAGTAAGTCGACTAGTATTTGTAGCTATGAAGATTTTTGAGGGTGAATTTTATCATGAGCCTTATTGTGCTAATATCACAGACAGTTTACCATGCAAAGAGGCTATACTAAATAATTACATGTTCTCATTTAATTCTTACATTGGCATCATGAGGGAGGCTTTTTATTTCCCTTTTTACAGAAAAACCTCAGATTTACAGAGGTTCAACTACCTAAGCAAGGTCACATAACTGAAATGTGGCAGAGCTGGGGTTCCAACCTAAGGATGTTGACTTCCAATGTTCAGATTTTTACAGGAAGTTTATTTAAAGGAAAGCAGGCTGAACAATATAAAGAAAATAAGCTAAAACTAAAAGTAGAAGACCAGATTAGAAATACAGAAAGTACTTTAACATATATTGTACCATCTGGTCTTTTCCGGTATCCTGGTGAAGTATGCAGGAGCATTCCTGTTTCACAGATGAAGAAAACAAAGCTTGGAAAGCTAAGAGACTTGCTCATGTCTCTAATAAAGGTTCTCTGACTTCAAATCAGATATTTTTTCTACTCAGCCTTTAGTTTGTTGAAATGTAAAGTTATGCCATTGAGAAAACTGATCAGCATAGTGACTAACATGTGACACTCTGATAGATTTGGAAACTTGTATTGTCTTGTGAAGATACAGTAGGAGGCAATGGTTACACTCCCCAGTAAAATGGAGGCAGAAAGTTCTACGTGGAAAAGTGGTGATCACTCACTATAGCACATATTTTTAAAAATTTTTTACTGAGATAAAATTCATATAAAATTTACCATTTTAACAATGTTAAAGCTTGCAGTTTAGTAAATTTCAATAATTCAGAGTTCTACAAGCATCACCACTATCCAATTCCGGAACATTTTCATTGCTCAAGAATAAATCCTTTACTTCCCAATTCCCACTTTTCATCACCCCCTGGCAACCACGAATCTACTCTTTGTCTCTATGGATTTGCTATTCTGGACATTTTATATCAATGTAATTATACAATGTGCTCTGTTGTTTCTGGCCTCTTTCACCCAGCATGTTTTTGTGGTTCAGCCATATTATAGCATTTGTCAGTAGTTCATGTTTTTTACAGTTATACAATATTCCACTGTAGGATATATCACACTTCATGTATCTATTTGTCAGCTGATGGGGTATTTGGGTTATTTCTACGTTTTTTCGCTGTTTTATAAAAAAAACTGTTGCTATGAACATTTGTGTAGAAGATTTTGAGTAGATACGTGCTTTCAGTTCTCTTGGGTATATGCCCAAGGGTGGAATTGCTGGGTCATATAACTATACATATGATATTTATATTAACTTTCTGAAAAACTGACAGACTCGTTTGTGCACACTTTTTCGTACTTGATCTTTGACCAATGATACTGGTACAGAATGAGTCAGGTTTTCCAAATCAGTGCTAGAAATTGTTAATTGAAGAATTTTATCATTTTTAATGGGCATCACCAAAGGAGAAGATGTTTTCTAAGACAAGCCTATCTGTCATTAATACTTCTTACAGTAGTGATCCAGCCAGCAGAATGAAAATTTTATATGGCCTTTTGCAGAAAGAATAATAGGGAATCTTGGCCCCAAATAAATCAGCAAATACATTGTGAAAGATATAAATAATGTTCACCAATATCTACTTGCCCTCCATTTCAAGGTAGATAGAGAATTATAATACAATTCCTTATATGAAGTTAGGGGTAGCCAAGTGACTAGATGTGGCCATACAATGAGAGTATGAAATAATAGTTGTAGGCCAAAGCATTTATTGCTAGTGCTCAACTCTCCAGCTCTATGCTTCACCTCTGTGATAAATCTTGAAGCCTTGAAGTGAGAGGTGGCATCCCAGAATGGTGGAGGCTCTATTACTTTGGATATCTGAGATATAAGCAGAGTTGTTTGTTGCTTTAAACCACAAAGATTTTGTTATTGTTTTTTAATATTAGTAATGCCTATCCTATCCTGGCTGCTATACCAGCTCAACTTATTTCTATATCATCCTGGTTCTGAGCTATAGTATATGATTACTGGCACATGTCTTAAGTTATCAGTATGCTTTTTTCCCCCCAAAGCATTACAAACTGATCATTATATTGGTGACACACTCCACACGTAGGTCATAGAGCTTTACCAAAAAGGATAAATAAAAATAAGGTAAGAACACAGTTTTGCTTGGGGCTCATCATTACTGTCTGAAAACTCCTTTACATAAGCCTTACTTTCTCTCTTCATATTTGTATAAACATTGATGTGTCCCTAAAAAGCTGTGCAACACACATGCCTCCTTCCAATATAGTTAACTAGTTGTGTTACCTGATAACAGGTGCTGATTTCTAAATAGTACTCCTAACACTAGCTTTTCTACTTATTGAGAACTTTTAAAAATTTCAAGGCATAGGGTAGATAGACAGTCCTTTAACTTCACAGTTTAGGGTCATAGTAACAGCTATGGAGTCAAAGTTTAATGTAAGCACTGCACTGAGGTACATATTCTTTAATTAGAATTGTACTATTTTAAAATGTAACGATAAAGTTCTTATACTAAGAGGCTCATAAATATCCTTCCATACCTAGTAGCATACCCATAAATATTCCCTAATTTTTAGTATAAACTTTTCAGAGTTCGAAAATAAAAGTTCAAAAGCAACTCAGTGTTCTTTTTAGAAAAGAAAGCATTCATAACATATAAAATATAAATAATTAATCAAGAAAGTGAGGTATCTGTGACTAAAGTGTTTTGTATTTAGTATCCATGAAGATCAAACTCATTTAAACACAACTGGATTTATAGTCATACACTCAGCTTTCAATGCTACTTCAAGTGGACTGAAAGAAGCAAGTGGGGTCTCTACTCAACTCAGTCTGAGCTTTTCATGGATTTTGGAAATTATATTCTTCCCTCATCTGACAAATTAAAATAAAGATAAAGAAATACCTAAAGAAAGAAAAATTTACTTAGTTTCTTAAGTAGTTAATTTTTGCTTGAAATATTACAAGGATTCTGTCTCCAACAGAATACGCTTTAGAAATACTCATTTTTAGATCAATTGAATTTAAGAGACTATGCAGTTTTTAATATGGACTAATGGAAATTCATGACTTTTAAAATAAAAAGAAAAATTAAAGTGACCACTTGATAAAGTTAAAAATAATTTATAAGTTATAAATTTAGAAATAAGAACTTTTATCCAAAACTAATTACTTTTTACTGTTTGGGGTATCACAACTTGAAATTTGAATATCTAGTATCTGCATTCTTTGTGATGGGCAGTCACGTTGCCTTTAATATATTTTCTTTATGTTGATATAAAATATAGGTTAGGTTATTTTAAAGTGAGCACTCTATATTTTTTCTGCATCTGAGGAAATACTTCTTAAAATTGACTCTCTTTTTGGGACCCATTTGTGCTATTTTGCTTCAGTAATTAATGATTCTGTATCTGTTACCCAAGTATCTTCCTATGCACCAAGAAAGAACCTTGGTAACCAAATCTGTTTTACATTTTTTGTCAAACACTATAACACTTGGCATTAGGCTTATCATATTATAAGTGTTTCAAACAGGGACAACATAATCAAAGGAAGAAACACATTTTAACTTACAGTGCTTTCCTTCTCAGTTCTTGCATAGTTGGTTAGAAGGTTTTCTGATTTTCATGAAAAACTATATGTGTGAATGTGGAGGACAAAGTGAGTTTTTACTGAAGGGTGAAAGAAACAATCAGCCCCTGGAGCCCCAGAATGACATTTGGTTGGAAGTTGTGTTGTGTGACACAGACGAAATGAGATAGCTTGAAGGCATCCCCCTAGATAGCATCATGTCCTCTGATGCCAGCAACTCTGTGTAATCATTTGCTCTCACAACTAGACCCTACTGTACTGACAAAATTTCATAAAATTAAATCAAGGTGAATGAAACCAATAGGAATTAGGGAAGTGGTGTTGGGGTGGGTCAAAATACCAATGTTAGCACACAGTGGTCCTTTTCTTCAAGGAAAATTCAGGTTCACATGGATAATTCATCTCACTAACTAAAGGAGGAGGCTTAGAAAAGAACAGCTTTCAAAATGGACTTCATTTTCTCATATGATTGTACAGATATACTCCAATTTGCCTAAAGGGTATTACTTTGTAAGTGCTCATCTGTATTTGCTTCTTGTCTTCAATGATTTTTCTCATGTTCATCTACCTGTGTAACAGAGGCCTTAAAAACAATTGCCCAAACAAAACAAAATAAAATCAACAATTCATCTTAGAATATTCAACTATGCTCACATTCAGAACCATATAGATAAGATCATTGTTCTGCTCTAGAAAAACCAAGGTGGTGAATACTTTAAAGTATATCAACATAGGTATTTTATAGGTATTATTCACCTTTGACCATAAGGAATTACTGTCCACTCCCAAAGGGTACATTACACCCTCCCTTGGACAATAGGAGCATCACATTTTAATTGGTAAATTTCAAAATGAAGAGGGTAGTGGTTAAGGGCTGAATTCTAGAGAAAGATCTTTCTCAGTTAAAGCATGGTTCTGCTGTCCGCTAAACCATATGATCTTCTAAAATTCACTTAACTTCTTCATTTTTATTTTTAGACAGCATCTCACTCTGTCACCCAGGGTGGGTGCAGTGGTGCAATCTCAGGTTACTTCAACTTCTGCCTTCCAGGCTCAAGTGTTCCTCCTGCCTCAGCCTCCTGAGTAGCTGAGTCTACAGGCACATACCAACATGTGTGGCTAATTTTTTGTATTTTTGGAGAAATGGGATTTTGCCACGTTGCCCAGGCTGCTCTTGAACTCCTAGGCTCAAAAGATCCACTGGCCTCGGCCTCCTAAAATGCTGGGATTATAGGCATGAGCCACAATGCCCAGCCTCACTTAATTTGTTTAAGCCTCAGTGTCACTGGTAAAATGGGGAAAATAATAGCATCTATCTCAGTCTTTCTGAAGGATAAAAGAGAATCCATGCAAAGCTCTTAGTAAAGTGATCCACACAATGTTAACTATATAATAAATGGCAGATACTGTGACCATTCTTTTTGAAAAGATAAGGAAATCACTCATTTGTTCAGATCACTCATTTTGAACAAACACAACAAAAGGTAGCTGTTTCACTGGTTTCAAAGGCCAAGGAAACAGGACAAATGAAAGAGATATTAATGATTCCTTTTACTTTGCAAAGCTAGAGTTAAATATTTAAGACAACCACATTTCTTGTCACCTGCAAAGTTGACTTTAGACTTCTAATGAGCACAGAGAGAACTAAATCGTGAAAGTAGGTGAATCCCTATTTGGTCCATTGATTTGTACTTCCTGCTGTCAAGCAGAACCACTCATAAATGTCTCATAAAATTAACATATCCCCTAGCTGTACTGTTGTAGCAAAGATTGCTAGTGGCCTATCCCTACATTCATTCTTCCCTCCTCCTTTTTAAGAGAAATGTGATTCCTAACTGGGCACATTGTGGCTCCACCTCCCTCCTCCCGACTGCTAGACAAAAGAATACATTTCCCAGTTCACATTACAACTAGATATGGCCAAGGGATTAATTCTGTCCAATGAGAAGTATTGCATGGGATTTCAGGAAGACTTCAAAGGGAGCTGATTCAGCTGGGAAGAGCTGCTCTTTCTGCCTTTCCTTCTGGCTTGCTTCACAGGAATGCTATGCTGGTAGAACTCCTGCAGCCACCCTGGCCCATGTGGTGAACTTATGAAAGACATTTGTATGGGTACAGTAAAAGGATAGGAGCCTGGATGCCTGATGATACTAGATGTAGCACATTGGTCCCCAACTCCTTACCCTTGAGTTTATTTCACATGACAGAGAGAGAGAAAGACTTCTTCCTTGCTTAAGCCACTGTTATTTTGGGTTCTTCTGTAATATACAGCCTACCATGATTCCAAGTGGTACAAGTATTTTTTTCAAATGCTTAAAAAATATTTTGGCTTATTTTTGAATATATTCTGAAAAAGCAAGTCTACCCAAGTCTCCAACATCTCTCTAAATATATACTTGTGTACGGGTTCAAAATGTAAATAAAAACCTAAGATATTTCCTACTTCTGATGAGAGGCTATATCTCATGCTTTGTTTCCTTAACACCTGGCACAAATGCAGTACCTGGTGCATGGTTAGCATTCAGTAATGTGTGCCAAATGAAAGAATGAAAAGTGGGAAAGTCAAAGCTCTGAAAACCCTGGAAGACAACCTAGGCAATACCATCCTGGACCTAAGAACAGGTAAAGATTTCATGACAAAGATACCAAAACCAATTGCAACAAAAACAAAAATTGACAAGTGGGATCTAATTAAACCTAAAAGCTTGCACACAGCAAAAGAAACTATCAACAGAGTAAACAGACAACCTACAGAATGTGAAAAAACATTTACAAACTATGCATCTGACAAAGGTCTAATATCCAGCATTTATAAGGAACTTAGCAAATTTACAAAAGAAAAACAACCCCATTAAAAAGTGGACAAAGGACATGAACAGACACCTCTCAAAAGATGACATACGTGCAGCCAAGGAGCATATGAAAAAAATTCCATATCACTAATCATTAGAGAAATGCAAATCAAAACCACAATGAGAAACCATCTCACACCAGTCAGAATGGCTATTATTAAAAAGTTAAAAAATAACAGATGCTGGTGAGGTTGTGGAGAAAAGGGAATGCTAATATACTGTTGGTAGGAGTGTAAACTAATTCACCCATTGTGGAAAGCAGTATGGCAATTCCTCAAAGAGCTAAAAGCAGAACTACCATTTGACCCAGCTCCCATTTCTAGGTATATATGCAGAGGAATGTAAAGCATTCTACCATAAAGACACATGCATGGGAATGTTCATTGTACCACTATCCACAATAGCAAAGACATGGACTCAACATAAATGCCCTTCAATGAAAGACTGGATAAAGAAAATGTGGTACATATACACCAGGGAATATTATGCATCCATAAAAAAGGACGAGATCACATCTTTTGCAGGAACATGGATGGAGCTGGAGGCTATCATCCTTAGCAAACTAACACAGGAACAGAAAACCAAATACCACATGGTCTCACTTATAAGTGGGAGCTAAATGATAAGAACTTATGAACACAAAGAAGGAAACAACAGACACTGGGGTCTACTTGAGCAGGGAGGGTGGGAGGAGGGAGAGGAACAAAAAAGATAACTATTGGGTACTGAGCTTAATACCTGGGAGATGTAATAATATGTACAACAAGCCCCTGTGACATGTTTGTCTATATAACAAACCTTCACATGTACCACAAAACCTAAAATAAAGATTTAAAAAAAAATTCAAAAAAAGAAAAACAAGTGGGAAAGAGTCCCTAACAGTATCTGTATATATATGATTGCAAATTGGTAATGCTGATTCTCCCAGTGACTCAATGTGCATTGGTGAATGCAGCATTTAGCGAGCACACTGGTTCCTCCAAGTTACTTGGACAGCATGAAAGGTGACCTAAAAGTCTCAGAGTTAATGCTTCATCCCATTAATCTCACCCACTGAAGAATGGCTGACCCCTGCCTCTTATTTGTGAGACAGAAGCTCAGTAATGTCAAGGATGATGACTTTTCTAGCTTGTCAAGGTTGTTTTGCTTTGTGAGGCTGTTTATTGAGGTGCTCATGACTGCCTCTATCTTAACTCAGTGCTTCTCTGACTGAGGTGGTAAATTGTTCCTTTGTGACTCTTCCTTATAGAGTAACTGAGCAGTTAAGCTTCTTTGTTTAGTGCTACAATTTCTGTTGCTCCAATTTCTCTCTGACAGGATAATTACCAAGTTTGTCTCTCTTGGAATCTCATAGATTCATGTTTATTTGAGTTTCATTTATGTGTAGATTTCTTAGCCTTTTCTAGTATTTGTTCAATTTGTTGTCTCTGTCTTTTAAGGCTTTAATATTTCAAGGTCATAAAAATCCTACCTTACTTTTTGCATTATATGGCTACTCCCTTCTTTTTTTTCTGGTGAGATTTCAAAGCTCTGTTGTTGTTTTTTAAAATACTCTTTCAGGGTAATATTGTTTCTTCTTCTGTTTTTGTTATTAGTGTATATAATTTTACTTTAATCCTATGGTTTAAAATCTATGGATTCTGTGTCTTTCCTCATTTTTCTTGAAAAGGCAACTCAAATTGTAGTTAAGCTCTCTCTTTCTTCTGCACACATGCTATCCCTCTTTCTGCAATGTCATGTTCCCTGCTTTGGCCTGCTTGACTCCAACCAACTCCTTTCTCCTCAGCCTTGGGAAGCCTTCCACAATAATAAAGGAGTCAGTGGATTTGTCCATAAGTAGCTACTGGAACCGAAAAGGAGTTAGTACTTTAATGCATAATTAGATGAGTGAGTTTTAAAAATTATGAGTTTTTCTATTGTATTGATATATTTTTCAACAATCTAGGTATTAAGTAAAATAAGGCAGCCTCCGGATATTAAAAAGATAAATATAAAGAAAGTATAGCATTAACTCCTCTTGTAATTGCTCTGCAGTTGAACTGAGCCATGGCACTCATTGTTAGTTTGCATAAGAAAAGAAGATCACTTTAGTATACACTGAAATTCCAGCTATAACAAGCAATAATACTAACTTAGGATGCTTAGGTTTCTGAATTTTACTCTAGTCATATATAGCAAGCCAAAACATACACACTTAAGTTATATGAACATGAAAATAAAGTTAACAATAATTGTATCTGTGCCAACATTAGTATACGGTAATTGCCAAAAATTTACACATTCATTTATTGATATTTACTTATGTGTTTAGCTATAGCACAACACATAATTGTAAAACATATATGAATAAGGATGATAATATATTCTTGCCAAATTTGATTACACAGGCCAAGATTTGTTGTTTTAGGAAGTGAATAACTATATTCAATTTCAAATGTTTATTATATCACACGGAATTTTTGTGAAGATATCTATCGCCATAATAATGTATCCATTTTACAATGATAAAAATGAAATATCAGGAAGAGCTGAATATTTAGGCCCCACAAAGTTAATTTTTTTTTTTTTTTGAGATGGAGTCTTGCTTTGTTGCCTAGGCTGCAGTGCAGTGGTGCGATTTCAGCTCACTGCAACCTCTACCTCCTGGGTTCAAGCAATTCTCTTGCCTCAGCCTCCTGAGTAGCTGGGATTACAGGTGTGCGCCACCACATCCAGCTAATTTTTGTATCTTTAGTAGAGATGGGGTTTCACTATGTTGGCCAGGCTGGTCTCGAACTCCCGACCTCAGATGATCCACCTGCCTTGGCCTCACAAAGTGCTGAGATTACAGGCATGAGTCACCGTGTCCAGCCAAAGTTAAATGTTTATAGAAACACTAATCAGTTAAAATAAATATTTCATTTGTTTCCAAAATGGACAAATTAGAAAAACGCTACTCAGTTCTTCTTATGAAATAACTTTTCTGTTTGTGAAGACTAATGAGAATGGATTTATGACATAAAAATCATATTAGGCTGAAGAAAAACAAAAGGAAGAATGAGAATTAAAAAATGCATTCTGACTCTTAACTGACAATAACTTTATATATTGATAATTATTAAAAATGAGCAGTGCACTTTTTTTAGTGTAAAGGTTAGTGATTTTATTAATCTATAAGCAAGATGGCCCTAATGTACAACACCATTTCAAAAATGTTTGGTCTAGGCTAAAATTACTGAAGGAGCAACATTATCATCCATGCTAAATGCCAAGGAGTAATAGGTTTCTACAGTAACTGTGAAATATGCAATTCAGATACACACATAGGAAAACACCAATTATGCTAGATACATCAAGAGAAAAGCAGCGGAATGAAGGATGGATTTGTATTATCAGCTGCTTAGCAATATGGAATATTTAAGACATGCTGAGCTTTGAGTCATTGATCACTGCAAATTAAGTACTCCTACATGGTTTAAAAATAAGTTTTCAAAATTTATTTTCCATCTATTTCCCTGTGTCAAGAATTTTTAAAAATGAGATTATTTTCCCTTGTGCTAAAATATAAATAATAGGCAATTGTGTGTATTTCTTTTGTACAAACTGAAACTTCTCTGAGGATGGGAACAATGTCTTATATATCTTTTATACCCTATCATCACAGAACAATGCAATGTTGGAAAATGTTATGGAATCATTTTCAGTTGCAGGGGATTTGTGGTTTAGAAAGGACTAAAACACAGGTGTGTGTGAGGCTGGGTAAGGTTAAGATGCATAAAGTGATTTCTAATTATCTAATACTGCTTGTTATGAGGTTTGTATAAAATAACTAGCATGGTAAATAACAGCATCTTGATCAGACATCCAGTCACATGAATCCGTGTTTTCAAACTGAGTCCATAAGGGAGAAATAAAGATGGACCCGTCTCTGGTATTGTTCTGAGAAATGCTGGTCAGATTTCCCTTTATGGGCCTAAAGTTGTCTAAACACTGCCACACAAATTATGACTGTAATCAGTTGTAAGACTAAAATCCACATGTACTTTCTACAGTGTAACAAATGTAAAGTGCTTACAAAATTCCTGTGACAAATCTGTCAAGAAATTACTGGTTTGCTTAGTGTTTTAGCATTGCTTAGAGAATAAAGAGGACTTGTTCATTGATCATGACTCACAGAAGATAACAAACCTGTGGCTGCCCATTGCTAGTACCAATCATTTTTTCTTGGAAGGTAACAAAAGGTTAGAATATCTAGGTGAAGAAGAAGAATAGGGTCTGGAGGCAGGGAACCTAAGGCTGATTCATGCTGACTTCTAGAACTAAATCAAAAGGAAAACCCCAACTTTCCACGCTCAAGGAACAAAAGGATCAGAGGCTACTCCCTTTGTAACCTCCACCCTTTCTGCATTGCAGATGAAAAATGGAAAGTACCTCTGATTGGTCCTCTCCTGAAACCAATCAGATTGGTTGTGACCTCGTCTTCATTTGCATAGCGGTATAACTTTGTAACATCAGCCTCTGATTGGTAGCCTTCCGAGACGAATTAGACTGGTTGTGGGCCACTCCTTCATTCACATAGGGTGTAAACTAAATAGCCAATGGGAAACCTCTAGAGAGTATTTAAACCCAGAAAATTCTGTAACCAATGCTCTTGAGTCGCTTGCTTGAGTCTGCTCCCATTCTGTGGAGTTTACTTTTGTTTCAGTAAATCTGTGCTTTTGTTGTTTCATTCCTTCATTGCTTTGTTTGTATGTTTTGTCCAATTCTTTGCTCAAAACGCCAAGAACCTGGACAACTCATATTCAAGATCCTCCACCAGTAACAAAGCCATTGCCTAGTTACGCTCACAAAGAATGGTGTTGACTTGCAAGCAACTACCTCTGTGTCTTCTTTGCTCTCTGGGTGGGGTTCAGGGCTTGATATCCTTTGTGGAAAATAAAGGCATCTCATCTTACTAGCAGAAGGCTGAACCACTGTGGGTGATCTAAGTGCTGTTTGGCAATACTTTGGAAAGATAACAGTGGTTATGATATACTATCTTTATGACAGATTTCTCAGGGTCCCCAAAATTCTAACACTCTTTAAAAAAAAAATCAAAAATAAGCCTGGGAGAAAAAAAGGGAATTGCTCCTAATTGTGACAAGGTCTTAAAGCAGGGATTTGGAAACCTAGTCCTCTCACTTCTAAGCTGGGCAACATTTTTTTCTCCTTTCTTTTCTTTTCTTTCTTTCTTTCTCTTTTTCCTTCCTTTCTTCCTTCCTTCCTTCCTTTTCTTTCTTTCTTTTTTTTTTTGTTAAGTAATTTTCCTAGAAATCTGTAAAAGCTTTAGTCAGACTGCTACAGCCTGGTGTTTCATCAAGCTATCTTCCACTTTGCCAGTATCTGGGTTGCTGAGAAGGTGAAGTGATCAGAAGTAAATTTAAAGAAAATAATCCCATAATCTATATCTGTTTAGGAATCTGTGCAGCAACCCAGAATTTCATTTATGTTACATAAGGAACTTTGGCCACTAAATACCTCTGAAAGAGTTTTATGTTAGTTCAATTAAATGGCATGTGTAGTGAGGGTAAAATTTCATTAAAAACTCTTGTTTTAGTGATTTTCATCATTTGGTACTTGATTTTCAGGGCAGTATTTTGTTAAAATAAAATCCTAGTGTTTAAATACCTAGCCCTTCAATATGAGGGGCTTAAAACTCTTCTCTTTGCTTCTTGGGTAACTGATACTTAGCATTTCCTACAATATTCACAGGCTTTGGATAGTATTGACATAAGCAAAAAAAAAAATAAAGGCCATTAGCTTGACTAAGGGAGGCAGGTGGACAGAACAAAATGGCTCTGCAACATACCAGTTACATCACTTTAGGCAAATGATATAATCCGTCTGATCCTTAGTTTTCTTATCTGTAAAATTGGATAATAATAATAATAATAACAGTATCTTCCTCAGGAAAGTTTAAGGGTAATAGGTAATATTCAAAAAGAATATGAATAATACTTGAATATTGTAAGAGCTTAGTTAACAGAAACTATTATTATTTTAAAATAAAAAGCCTGCTTAGAATTATGCCCCCTCCATCCTGCTAGGTATATTGGCTGGGGCCACATAATCGGCACTGAGTATTCATAAAATTGAACTGCCTGCCCAAACGCCTTTTCCCTCATACTTTGCCTTTAACATTTATTTGTAATATTTCCAAAAATAGCTTTGTCTTCATGCTTACCATCATGAGATAATCTCAGACTCTCACAATCTCTCTCTGGGGCTGCCAGACTCTTCTCCCTCCAATCTATATCCCAAAACTCACACAGAAAACTCTTTGTAAAGCTCAGCTTTGATCATGGTACCCTCCTTGCTTGATGCTGTTGACTGGCTTCCCTTCCTCACTCAAGCCTTGACCTAGTATCCAAGGCCTTTCCTCTCCTTCTGCATCATCCTGTGCCTGGTGGCCCTTTCTCCAGCAGTATCAAGCTTTATAATTTTCTTGAAGGGCAAATCTGTTTTCCGCTTTTGCACAGTTCGCTGTCATGCCTGGGTGGCTTCTCCATTTTCATTGGTCTGAGAAACTCCAACTCACCATTGAAAAATCAGATCAAGCTCCCTCCTCTGTGACGGGTCCTTAATATGGGGCCTGTAAACTTGGATGAAAAGAAAATTACATCTCTATTTCATTAACCTTTTACTGAAATTTAGCATTTCCTTCAGTTAGGAAGGTAGGCAGTAAACTACTGGCAACAACAGAAGTCACATATTTTCATATCCCATTAAGGTAGTTGCAGAAATCTCCAAATACCATTTACATTCACTATGGTGTTGAAACTATGGTATTAGACTTGCGGCTATATTTGTTACTTAATGTGTTAATAAAGAAGTACATACATTACTATTTAATAACTTTATTTTTTAAAGTATTCTGGCAACTGTATTTCAATATAATTGATTTGCCTTGTACTTTTATATAACAAGTTTATTTTTAAAAGTATTCTGGCACCTGTATTTCAATATAATTGAGTTGCTTTGTACTTTTATAAAATTTATTTTATGCAGTTAAAGAACACTATAAAAGGATCCAAAATAATGAGAATTTTAAGGACTCTCATGTAGGAAGCCTTCTGTCATGGCCCTGGGGAAATGAATTATGCCAGGTCATGCTCTGATACATCTATCAGCCTTCATTACACTGTTTTGCAATTACGTATCTGCATTTTTCTCCCTCATAGCTGTGAGCTCCATGAGGAGGAAGGCTGTTTTTTTTGTTGTTGTTTGTTTGTTTTTAAATCTCAATACCCCAGCCTACTGCAACTTTCAAAAATGTTTATTAAAATAATTAACTACAAATGTGCATAAATGTTTTTTCTAAAGTACTATATTCTTCGATTTCCTAAGCTGTATAGAACTTACACAATTGCAGACTTTCAGCTACTAAAACCAGGTTGTTCAGGATACATTATTTCATTGTTCTAGTCTTCTAATTTAATCAATATACAATCTGGATGTTACAGTTGAAGAGACATGTGACCTATATTTTTTGGTATTTATTTACTTACTAATATTAGGAAAACACTATCTTATTAGCACCACACAACAATCTAAAAGAGTCACTGAGGGATGGCCTAAACACTATGTGACCTGTTTTATGCCCAGAGACCTGCAGGCTTGAACTGCTGGGTCTACTAGCATGCCCATAGAAGGTATTGCTAATCATGCTGTAGCCATGAGTAGAAGTAAACTTTGAAGAAACAAAGGCTTGGATGCTTCCTAAATCACCAACTCTTGGATAGCAACAAGGTGTTGCCAAATTTTGCCACATATACCTAAGTTCCAGGATGAAAATTATACTAAAAAAACTTCCTTTAGTCAGCACCATCTACCTTCTCTTATCAATAGCAACCCTTCATCCATCTATCCATGCATCCATCCATCCATCCATCCATTCATCCATCCATCCATCCACCCAAACACCCAGCCAATCAAAATCATAGTTTTCCAAGTTACTTTCACTGAAGAGGTTCTTTTAACCTCTTTGCTATGCTTTATTTTATTTATTTTATTTTATTTTTTGAGACGGAGTCTCACTCTGTCGCCAGGCTGGTGTGCAGTGGCGTGATCTCGGCTCACTGTAACCTCTGCCTCCCGGGCTCAAGCGTTTCTCCTGCCTCAGCCTCCCTAGTAGCTGGGACTACAGGCGCATGCCACCATGCCCAGCTAATTTTTGTATTTTTAGTAGAGATGGGGTTTCACCGTGTTGGCCAGGATGGTCTCGATCTCTTGACCTCGTGATTTGCCCACCTCGGCCTCCCAAAGTGCTGGGATTACAGGCATGAGCCACTGCGCCCAGCCCCTATGCTTTGTTTTTAAATAAACCACATTTGGTCCATAGCAATAGGTATTTTCCTACTATTCAGACAAGGAACACGTAGCAAGGTTATGTAACGTGCTTTTACAACATGATGGGAAATACTCCAACTTAACATACCAGAGTGTTTTAAGTGTTAATAGCTGAATTGTTTTCGTTTCATACAAACTTAATTAAAGAATAGTTAAGTTTTTTAGGGGCCTTGTTTCATATTTATATTTTCTGTAAGGTTTTCTTGGTCTTTATTATAAGAAAATACACCAGACGCTGATTCCAGTCAATTGCTGTCACAGTCCTGGATAGTTTATTTCATTTGTTTATGCAGATGCTATTTTAAGTGGATTTACTTGAAACAGGAATAAAACTCCAAGTTGGTTTCATGTGTTCACTGCAATGAAGAGTTCTAGAATAAGAATATAAGTCCCATGGATTATCAGAGATACATGTTTTTCCCCCTTTATCTTGTTCTGTTATTTCAGACCTAAATGGACAACCTCAGAAACACCTTTCTCAGAAGTCTTTTAAGTTCAAGAAGGAATGAAAATTACCTTTCAAATAAGGATATAAATTACAGAAAATACTAAGTACTGTGCTCATTATGTGACTGTTGTATTTAACTTGAGAGCAAAGGAAAGGGTCTCCAGATTTACATGCCTAAAATTATGTTGCTAAGTAGACCACAGTGAGGTTTCGGATCCTATATTCCTCTTGCCCTAAGTATTTTCCAGTTTCTAAAGCATTTATTTTCATCTATTATCCAGCTAATCACCCAGCCTTGCCATTCCCCTCCAAAATATCTCGTTTCTCTATATCCACTGTCACCATCAAGGTTGCGTTATTTCTTGCCTAGGCTACTAAGTTCTTTTAACCTTTCTCCCTTCATCACCATTTGTCTGTCTGTAATCAATTTTCCACTCTGCAGCCAGACTGATCTTTTAAAAACACAAATCTGATAATGTCATTCTCATCCTATTACCCTTTGAAGGCTTCTCAGTATTCTAAGATAATGTCCAAAATTCTCCTGGTGTATAAGGTCCTGAGATGTTCTGTCATTGGCCTGCTATCCAGTTTATTTTGGTGCCATTCTCTTGCTTGCTCGTTATGACCCAGTCTTGTTGGTCAATTCTTTGAAGAAGCCATACTCCCTGCTTAGGACCTGTACACATTCCCTGATATTCCCTCTCCCTGAAATGCTTTTCCTTCATCTTTGCAAACCTAATCTTGAGTCCTCCTTCTTGTCTTTCTGGCTTCCCAAGAAGCATTTTTTGACTATAGGAAAACAAAACAAAACAAAAAACCAAGGTTTGGGTAGCAAGTCTTGCCAAGTGGGGGATTTGTAAGTCTGTGGCTAAAAGCCTAGGCATCAAAATTAAAAAGTTATGGCGAACTCAAAGAATATGTCCCATAAATGGCAAACTTCCTCCAAGAAGCTCTTGTATCCTTCCATGACAGGTGGACAGAATCCTCTCCAGGTGTCAAATTCAGCACACTGGGTATTTATTTAAGTGTTAGCAAAAGATATGTGCAGTTATTTGGCAATAAGGTCACAGGATGAGATTTATGTGGACTTTTTGTTCCAACTTTCATTTTCCTTTTTAATTGACTTATGTACATTTATCTTTATCTCCAATGGGTCTGTAGATATTAGTAACACATACAACATTGTTTTCTACTGTAGCATTATTAATAGTAACCTCATGGTATATTAGCTTGTGCCACCATGCCAAAAAAATTGAAACAGATTCATTTTATAGGAAATTAGTAAGAAAAAAAAATGTTTAACACAAATGGAAAGTTGTTTCAATTCACAGCATAATATTATATTCACTGTCAAGATGCTATGAATTACTGATGCTAAACACACTATTACCAGGATGTCAAATACTGGGGAAAAAAGAGGGGCTAATAGGGTTTTTACACATTTCTTTTTGTTTGTTTGTTTGAGATGGAGTCTTGCACTATTGCCTGGGCTGGAGTGCAATGGCACGATCTCGGCTCACTGCAACCTCCGCCTCCCAGGTTCAAGCGATTCTCCTGCCTCAGCCTCCCGAGTAGCTGGGATTATAGGAGCCTGCCACCACACTTGGCTAATTTTTTGTATTTTTGGTAGAGATGGAATTTCACTATGTTGGCCAGACTGGTCTCGAACTCCTGACCTCATGATCCACCCGCTTTGGCCTCCCAAAGTGCTGGGATTACAGGTGTGACGCACCGTGCCCGACCGTTTTTACACATTTCTAAGGTTGCATAAAAGTTTTATGATCGAATCTGACAGTCTTACAGTGCTCATGTTAATGATGCGTTTGTTAAATAACACAAGGCTGGCAAAAGGAGAAGAAAAGGCAGTGTAGTGAATACAAAATGAATTTTTATTGGAAATGAACTTTGAAGGGACTAATTTATGAGGGGCATACTGTTTCACAAAACCAGTGTCACCACCATCTACAGATGAAGCCACAGTTTGTCAATTTGGATTTTGGGGAACTTCATCTGAAGAGGAAAATGTGAAACTATCACTATACAGAAAAAGAACCACATTGATCATATTCTTATGCTTGGTTTAACAATGTTCAAGAAGCAAAAAACAAAACAAAACAAAAACCAAAAAAAAAGAAAAAGAAAGAAAGCTGGCAGTTTTTTTTTTTTTTCTGAAAAAAAAAAAAAAAAAAGTGATAGCATTATGGCAGTGGTTCTTAATGGAAGATGTACTGGCATCACCTGGGGAGCATTTCAAAACAACATGCCACTGTCCTGGTGAGGCTGACCGCTGGAAAGGGAAAACAGGTGACTTTAAGTACCTCTGCAGATGACCCTGGTTAAGACTCTTAATTGAGAAGTTTTTGTTTGTTTGCTTTTTAAGACAGAGTCTCCCTCTTGTCACCCAGGCTGGAGTGCAGTGGCACCATCTCAGCTCACTGCAACCTCTACCTCCTGGGTTCAAGTGATTCTCCTGCCTCAGCTTCCCGAGTAGCTGGGATTACAGGCACCCACAACCGCACCTGGCTAATTTTTTTTTGTATTTTTAGTAGAGCTGGGGTTTCACCATGTTGGCCGGGCTGGTCTCAAACTGCTGACCTTGGTGATCCGCCTGACTTGGCCTCCCAAAGTGCTGGGATTACACGCCTGAGCCATTGCGTCTGGCCTTAATTGAGAAGTATTAAAAAGAAAAAGTATAATGAACTAGAGGCATAGTCCCTTTTGTCAATTTCTACTCAAGCAGAGTCTAAAATATAGCAAGATCTGTATCAAAGAGGTAATATGCTAGGCATCATTAAATTCCTTGAATTACCTAATTGTACAAGTCATCTTAACAGAAAAACCATGTCCTTGGTCCAAAGCAAGAAGAGCAAGGTTTGAAAGGAATAGAAAAAGAAGCTGTTGTGTCGTTGGTTTCATATTAACAATAACTCCTAAAGAACTGTGTTAGCTAAAAAAGGAAGGTCTGTATGGGGACAAGAGAAGCCTAAAGAATAGGTGGTTAGTCTGTGTGCCCTAGGAGAGGAGTGTGACTTATTTGGACCTCAGTAAGGAAACTAAGTAAGATGTAAGTGTAGGTGTAAGATGAAAGGCTTGAATTAGGTTACATTTAAGGCCTTCCAGCATGAATAGCTTATGATTCTATGCTGGGATTAAAAGCCTGAAGAATGGAGAGATACTGCCCAATTGATTAGTAAACTACTAGTGGTTTACAAATAGATTATGAATTGCAAAGGTAGCTAGAGTCTTGATAAAGATCTTAGTTGTGAACAAGATGTTGCCCATGTCTATGGACTTAATTATCATGCATGGATAATAATTCTTCATTCTAGAACTCTCCTCCAACTACGGGCCAGTTTTCCCAAATACCTATTCAATATCCCAGCTGATGTTGGTTCATGGACACCTGAGATTCCACATGTCCAAAATTGCACGCATGGTCTTACATCTTCCAATTGCTGCATCTTATTTTTATGATTTAGTCCACCTTTTTTCTCATGCAGAAATTGAGAACCAACCAAAGACTCCTTCCTCCTATGGCCACAGTTAATTATTTATTTTAAATTTCCTATTGATTTTTCTCTCCTAATACACTGAGAATCTGTCTACCTGCTTATCTCCAATGTCACCACCATAATCCAGGCAACTGTCATCTCTCTCATAGACAACTGTAAAAAACCAGTCTCCCTACATGAACACATGCTCTTGGTGGCACCCACACCCACCCAGAGACAGTTTAGAATTCAAAATGTGGTCAAGGCACACCCCTGCTTAAAATTCTTCCATGGATTTACGTTCTTAGACTGAAGATCAAAAACCTCTGAGGCTCTACATGATTTGGCTCTGATCTGTCTTAATAGTCTTATCTGAATCTTCTCTGACCCCATAGTCATCTTCTTTCAGTTCCTTGCACTTGCCACGTTCCTTACTGCCTTGCAGGATCTTTGTACCTGCCATTCTTTCTGTGTGACATACTCCACTCTTCTTTTAAGAGCTCAGTACAAACATCCCATTCTCAAGGTAATCTTCTCTGAGTGCCATCATCCCAACTTCATCTTCTATTACAGGCTTTATTAATTCTAACAATGACTGTAATGTTTATTGAGTGCTTATTATGTGCCAAGCACTGTTTAAGGCATTTTCCATATGTTAATTTATCCTTACTATAATCCTATGGTAGGTGATCCATAATATATTTAGATGCATGAAGAAATAATAAGTGAATAAGATAAAAACCCTAGGGCAAGGCTACCTTGAAATTCTACAACTGTATGCTTTAGGAAATATCTGTCTACTTTTAAATGTTTTATGATAGTGATTTACATATACTGAGATCACACCATAAATAATAATACGTCAAGTATTTGAGGGAAGCGTACATAGGAAAGGTTTGATTCCTCAAATCTTGGCTAGCTCTTATGAGAAAATATTTTGAATTGGAAATGAAAGGAATAGAACATTAGTAATTTGAGAGTGTGGAACTGAAGGTCATATTGGAATTATGGGTGTGAAAAAAAGAAATATGTGTGTGAACTCTCATAAAGATATATGATTCAGATGATACTCATGCTAGCGTTATTTCTTCTAGCTGCAGCTGGGACCCTATGACAGCTTTTATACAGGTGGCCAAACATTTTCTATAGCAACTTGCATCTGTCTTTATCTTTGTGCACACTTTTATCTATTAAAAGCAGATCTAAAAGGTGTTTTTTTTTAAATTTAATTTTAAGTTCCAGGATACATGTGCAGGACGTGCAGGTCTGTTACATAGGTAAACATGTGCCATGGTGGTTTGCTGCACCTATCAACCCATCACCTAGGTATTAAGCCCCGCATGCATTAGCTATTTATCCAAAAGCTCTCCCTTCCCCCACCACTGCCCCCTAACAGGCGCCAGTGTGTGTAGTTAGTTCCCTTCCTTGTGTCCCTATGTTCTCATTGTTCTGAAAGACATTCTTTAATACATTCAGTCCAGAGAATTGAATCAGGCCTTGGAAAATACATTATCAATCAAAAACTTAAAATATTCTAAAAAGGAGATGTCCTCATTGAAAATTATTTAGGGTTGTCGATCTCTTGAATCTCAAGTCATTAGGGAGCTCTAACCTACAATATTTTTGGCCTGGTATGCAACCAATATTTATTGAATTAAAATCAAGAAGAATCATTGTTCTTTAACCATTTACTTTCTTAAATCTTCTCTAGTAAGAATGAACTGCATACTCATCACTGTGGTCTATAGATTTCTACAAGTGGACGTGCTGAGTCAATGGACATAGGCACTTAACTTTTATTAGGCAGAACCATATCACTTTCTAAAATGAAGAACAATTTGTGCTCCCACTAATAGAATAGAATATGATGTTACTAAGATATTAAACTACTTCTCCTTTAAAATCTGTTTCATTTGCTAAATTTTCCTATACGGATCACTCCATGGGGAAAGCATACTATCTACATTTACAAAGTGAACTTCACTCATCTTAAGGTATTATGTGATTCTTTTCCTGTTTGTCTTAAGGAAAGGGGAAATGTATATAGATGGTTTTTATTCTTAATTATTGTGTATGCATAATAGTGGACCATATTTATGGGGTACATGTCATATTTTAATACAAGTATACAATGTGTAATGATCAAATCAGGGTAATGGGGATATTCATCACCTCAAGCAATTGTCACTTGTTTGTGTTAGGAACATTCCAATTCTACTCTTTTAGTTATTTTAAAATAACTAATACAGTCAATTACTGCTCAGCTGGTAGAGCAGAGGATTATAGATGGTTTTAACCATAAAAACCCAGTAAGCGGACTGCAGCCATATTTTACAAAATCACTTAGACTATAAATACATACTGTCAAATTCCCACAAAGCCTAATATGTTACTCATACAATAAATAATTGTTTTTCATATCCACTGACTCCCGAAGGACACCTAAAATTTGGTTCTATCTTCACAAATGGCTGCTTATTTTTGTAATAAGAATAAAGGTAGGCTGTATCACTTCTCTTACCTCATTAAAATTGAATATTAAAATATGAGTTAGATGATAATACCTTACATCATAAGGATTAACAGACTGATGATCATAAACTGCTGTGCAGTGAGATATACTTGGGCAATAAATATTTTTATTTAAACTTTAAAGTCAATGTCAGGAAAACTATTTCATTATGTAAATCACTAAAAACTTACAGTCATTCCTTTCCTATATCAGAAGTTCAAAGAACTTTTTCTAATAATTTTTAGGTGATTTTCTGACTTTAGTTGACCTAACAGTATTTCTGAACAATACATCTACATCAGACATTAGATCTGGAGAATATTCTATGATTCTCAAATGACAGTAATTTTTAAAATACTTTTTCAAAGTAACTGTGTTAAAAACATATAAGTAAAATATCCATCAAGAAAAAGAAAAGTAGAATATGCATTTCTAGCAATTGAGGCAGATGTCCAAATAAAGATGCTATGGTTAACTTCTACTATGAAGACACCCTTAAGTCTTCTTAGAACAATAAAAAGACTATGAAAGTCAGTGAGCCAATAATAAACAAACTTATCAGTAAAATAAAAGTCGTGCTATGATGCCTATTTTCCAAAGGCACATAGATCACAATTTGGAACCAATATATCTTCCTCACTGTTGTAATGAACAGCCACCATAAATTCACGCTCAACTGGATGCTCTAAATGAATACCAAGTGGAGTTTAGGGTATAATGTTTTAATTTCATATAGGGTTGTATGAGTTAATAAATCATTTACTCATTGATTTGAGACTTGCGTCCATCTATTTCAAGCTAAAGGAATATACATTTTTGTTAAGGCTAGGTCTTATTCTATCTATATGTTTTAAAGGGATTGCTAGACTTTATGGTGGCTAAAGTCCAGTTTAAAACTTTGAAGCTCTGCTGCCAAATATATTAATCGATGTGTCCAATCACTCAAAGTTTCATTTATGTGTTCTCAGTCCATCTATCCATTTATCTACTTTTCGATCTATTTATCACATAGTGTGTACACTGTTAGATTTAATGAGCTCTTAGGCCTGCAGCTAGCCATTAGAACATTTTGTTTTCTTTCACCATCACTTTTTACTTCCTGATCCTCTGAAAGAGCCTCAGTACTGAGGGAAAACTTTCCTTCTGTTTAAATGAATAAGAGGATAGCCATGCAAATCAGTCCAAATTGTCAGAATATTCAGAGGGCATGTGCATCTTGTAAAAGTTTGATTACTGATTAAAGTTATTTACTTTGCTTGGAACACAGAGGTGACTGAATTGTATATGATCTAAAATAGCTTTTCTGAATTCCTGCTTAGATTCAGTATCAATCCCTAATTTTAATTTCCAGAGAAACATCACCAAGATTGTGTCTAACAACCCACTCTCTCCTTAATTCCTTACACTCACACATCTGCACAAGCTATTCCTCTTCCTAGGGGCCCCTCTCTACCACCTTTCCCATTTTCTTCCCTTCTTACATAAGCCTGGATGCCCAGCAAGCTCCTACTCATCTCTACAACTTTAAAAAAGTTAAAAGCAAGCAAAAAAGTTACCAGAGTCATGTAAAGGAAGAAGAACATAATGGAATCTCACCTGTATCTTGTGCAAGTGGCGTTCTGACCTGACGGAGCTATTGGCTTAAAAGTGATGCGTGGGGAAACTTGGGCTGATAGCACAAATCCCAAGGCAAGAATAATGAGTGCTACGGTGGTACCTTAAAAAAAAAAAGTTTTATATTAGAGAAGAGTTGACAATATTGTTTTAAGGCAGACTGGGTTTGGTAAAAACAAACCAAAAAACAAAGAAACAAACAAAAACTCCTGAAAAAAAAATACCGTGCTCTATCTTCACTGGATTTTTAAAAAGTACTCCCAATGTATAAACAAATTATCAGAACTATTCACTAGCACGTTCATTGTGAGACATGATGAGAGTGAAATTCAAAGCAAATACATTTGCTAGCCAAACAGTAAATTGGTAATGATTTTTTAAAAGAAACCACGCACACCTAGTATTGCTGAAAATCTCAAAATCAATTAATGTGACAACATTATTGAGTGCCTAACATATCAAGAAGCACGAAAGACAATAGATTTCCATCAAGTGTTCCTTTTGGTGCCAAGAAAATTCTTCTAATGACATTCAATCATGTAAGACTTAAATTGGTAAACCTTTTTAGTTTAACAAATGAGTTATTTCTAAAGCAGTTGAAAGAGCATGTTTTATTAAAATGGAGTAGCATTTTTTGAAGACTTTAAAGTACCAGAAATAATATATCACATATATTCTTTTTTCTTTCCTGTTGGTATTTGAAAGTGAAATATTTGTTTTGGTGTTAACATATAGGAATGGTGATTAAGTATATCACTTAAAAGAATAATTTTTGTGTCCCTTATAGACATCCTAATGGCAAATAAGACATTTTTCAAGTTTCTGACTATTGTTTGAGCCACAGACATTGTGAGGGTAAACGAAAAGGGTCATGGGAAGAATGGAGAAAGAAAATATGATGGAATACTATGCAGCTGTAAAAAAGAATGAGATCATGTCCTTTGCAGCAACATGGATGGAGCTGGAGGCCATGATCTTTAGCAAACTAACACAGAAATAGAAAACCTAATGCTGCATGTTCTCATTTAAAAGTTGGAGCTGCATGATAAAAACACACGGATACAATGAAGGGAACAACAGACACCAGGGATTACTTGGGGGTAGAGGGTGGGAGAAAGGAGAAGATGAAAAAACTACTTATTGAGTAGTGTGCTTATTATCTGGGTGACAAAATAATCTGTACACCAGACCTCTGAGATATGTGTTAACTTATATAACGAGCCTGCACATGTACCCCTGAAATTAAAAGTTAAAAAAGAGAATATGGCTGTGTTAGTTTGTACAACTTATTTGAATGAGACAAAATAAGTTTAAAACATGGAATTTAGGAGGGCAGTTTAGTAGTAGTTAAGGTTTTATTAGTTAAGCTTGGAGGGAATTTAAATTATGAACAAAAATATTCAAAATAGATTTTAAAAAGAACATTGAGAAGCATCGTGGAAGTACAACACGGTTATATAATAGTTGAGATGTTTTTGTTTAAGACATAGTAGGTGTGTGAAGCCAGGCATTATGGGTACAGAGGTGACCTTGGGATCAGATGACTGTAGTTTTTAGCTAGCTTTGCTGTTTCCTGACTCTGTGATCTTGGATAAAGGACACAACCTTTCCATAATTCAATGTTGTCTTTTGTAAAATAGGGCTTAGTGAAAATACTCACCTTACGGGCTTACAGTGAATTTTAAATGTCATAATGTATTTGAAAGATTTTTTTTTTTTGAGACGGAGTCTCGCTGTCGCCCTGGTTGGAGTGCAGTGGCGCGATCTCGGCTCACTGCAGGCTCCGCCCCCCGGGGTTCACGCCATTCTCCTGCCTCAGCCTCTGGAGTAGCTGGGACTACAGGCGCCCGCCACCTCGCCCGGCTAATTTTTTGTATTTTTAGTAGAGACGGGGTTTCACCGTGTTAGCCAGGATGGTCTCGATCTCCTGACCTCGTGATCCGCCAGCCTCGGCCTCCCAAAGTGCTGGGATTACAGGCGTGAGCCACAGCGCCCGGCCGAAAGATGTTTTAATGCTATAACATGTTAGTTATTATGCTATGATTATTATTACAAGCAGCAGCAGCAGCAGCCACAGCAAGCCTTCAAAATAACAGAACAAAGTTGAAGGATGGGGAGGATTAAAGAAAGGTCAGAAGTCTATTTTGCAAAACCAGGCCAATAATGCGATAAAACTAAAATCACAGTTTGTTTAACTACTGTTGGCTTAAAATTCAAACCAGAACTAGGAATAGTTTGAGCCATTACTTTTCTCAAAAGACTATCAAGCCCCAAATTGGAAAACAGAAAAGAGATATAATAGGTCTGTTATGAAGATCATACCTCTCTCCTAAAACAAAACAAAACGAACCATGAGATTTACTGTTAGTCTGTCCATCAAAAAATCTGAGTCCCTATTTTCCCAAATTACATCCATATCTTATTGCCATGCAACAGGTAAGATTTTTTAAATCAGGAAACTTTGATATATTAAGATGTGAAGGAAAGATGAGTCTCTTCTTTCATAACACTCATTAAATAACCTGTCTCCATGAAAATGATAAACTCTAAGATGGTATGCCTAGCACATATCCAGTAAGGTCCAATTCTAGTGCCTGGCATATAAAGATTCAAATAAATATTGGTTGAATGGATGGGCCACCATACTATACATTTTCGCAATGTTGGCTATTTTTGAAAAAAACAAAAACAAAAACAAAAAAAAAACTGTTAAGTCCATCCAATTACAGTCATGAGGTTAGTATGGTACAACTATCCTAAATGAGAGCTCTGCAATATGGATAATATGACTCTACATCTATCTCTTAAGGTCCAACCAACCTAAAAATTATGAGAAATAAACTATTCTGTATATAGAAAATTCCTAAATAGGTAAAAGTTAACTCTTCTTAAGCCAAATTTATTTTATTTTGGCCCATTTTGGAGGAAAATATTTTAAAAGCCAGCATTATACTCTTTTGTTATTATATATAGTGATGTTTCTCAATCCTGGCTTCCTGTTGGAAGCAAATGCCTGGATGTACCCCAACCTCTGAATCAGAGTCTCCAGAAGATCAGTACAAAATATCTGAGTTTTAAAGCTTTCCACAAGTGGTTATGATGCCAAGACAGGGCTAAAACCCCTATGACATGATAAGCTCCTTACAAGAAGGAAATGGTATCTTAAACGACTTTATTTATAAAATAAATTTTTAAGTAATCACTTAGTCCTATCATCTACTCATATACACTATTAAAGCATAAAACAACTTGAATTACCTTTTTACTTATATTTAGTTAGTTACAGATGTTTTATCAGTCCCTTGTTAGTATTTAAAATCAATCTGGTTATTGTCAAGTTATTCATTATTACAACCTGGATTTGAGTCTAATACAAGAAGGCTTTGGATGAAAGAATTTTATCTGGTGTACTGTGTAGTTTTGGCATGTTCTTTATGTTTCAAGAGAAGAGTCTCTCTTAACCAAATACAGTATTAGATTTTGGAATTTTGATATAATTTGGCAAATAAAAATATTCTCCACAGGAAGTGAAAAGTGCTGAATAAATAGCATTATTAAAAATATCTATTGTAATAATCAGTACCAGGTACAGTGTTTGGCTTATTAGTAAATACTCAAAAAAACAAAATAATTTCCCTTCCCATGACTCTACCAGAGCAGTAGTTCTCACACTTTGTGTGCATAAGTATCACCTAGGGAATGTGTCTAAAGTGCACATATTTCAAGTCTCATTTTCAGAAATTCTAGTTTAGTAGATCTGGGTTAAGGCCCAATAATCCATGTTTTAAAATAAGTATCCTTGGCAACTGTGATGAAGACCGTCTGTGAGTGAAGTTTTCAGAAATATTACACTACCAAAATACATGAGGGGGGAAAAACACAATCTTTCTGGCTTTCTGATTCATTACCAATAAAGCTACATAGATCCAAATCTTCCAATATTAAAGAATCAAGAATTTGTCATTAAATTTGTAATATTTACCAGAAAAGTCCAGTTCTCTGAACAAGCTTTGAAAATACAAAAAGTCAAACACCAAAAATGTCCTACATTTAAGATTATTCATGGACTACATATTTTGTACTTCTTTGTATAAAGAGTTCCTTTGTCCAGGCTTACATATTTTTTATTTGTAATCATTTTAAAAGAATGAATATCTAACAAAAAATCATCTTGATATAACATTTTTCACTATTTTTAGTCCAATATAATAAAATAAATCATAGTAAGAACACAAAATAGGGAACGATACTGAATCAAAGGTTAAAAATTCGAGGCTATAGCCAATTTAAGAAATTTAACATAGAACCGTATGTTAGTACTATTAAAATGTCAAG
Organism: Homo sapiens; assembly: GCF_000001405.40. Classification (NCBI taxonomy): domain Eukaryota; kingdom Metazoa; phylum Chordata; class Mammalia; order Primates; family Hominidae; genus Homo; species Homo sapiens. Next base: position 39,869,115 of record NC_000012.12, read on the forward strand.
TATATATCTACATATAAATGAATAAAACAAAAACACACTGAAATAAAAATACAACTAACACAGAATCAGTATAGGAATGTGAAAGAAAAATCAATTGTGAGTGAGGGTCACACTGGAGTAATACTAATGTGTTAACAAGGTTGTTGAATGGTACTTCTTATTCTGAAGGTGTAAAGGTCCATTGGTCATTATCTTCTAGTAGGACCTATTTAATCACTGAAACAGCAGAACCACATGAATGGCACCATTTACTATGTGTACAGGTAAAAGAGGAGACCTGTGAGGCTTGTGACAAGAAACCAGGACTTCCACCTCTCAAACCATTGTTATATCCACTGTATCACTTGAATTGGCCACATAATAAGGAAATCAAATAGACTGTGTCTCTCAAGCTAAGGAATCACTGTACAGTGTTTGTAGTGGGCAGAACTGAGGCCTTGGTGGGTTTCAGCTGCAAAGAGAACAAGGCAGGAAAGAAAAGTGCCTATAGGTTGCTCATGAGAAGCAGACCCTGAAATCCCCTGGTGTTTCCCGAGGAATTGTCTTAATACTTCCCCTTAACAGTCAGGGATGGCTCTGGAAATCCTTGGGCAGAAGACCTACACTGAGAGGGAAACATGACATAGGCCAGAAGAGTTCAGGAAGATTCCTAGATTATGACGATGGAGGCTGCTTTTGCACTAAGTTTGTTCAAGCAACAAAGGCTCACTCTTTGGTAACAATAATGCTGTGACAGCTAAAATGCTCAGAGCCCTTTACTCTCTGTGTCAGGTAGTATTTGAAATCCTATACATCTGTAAATGTGTTAAATCCTCATTACATCTCTGTGAAGTAGGGATGATAATTAATCCCCATTCACAAATGAGAAAATAGAACCTTGCCCAAAGTCACACTATTCAAATCCAAACAGTCTGGAGCTCTGTATCAATAAGGGCTCAAAAATCCTACAGAACTGATAAGAAAGTGTTTTACTGGAATACCAAATGAAGGAACGAACACAGGTTGCTAGAAATAATGTTTAGTCAGTTTTCCCCAGATCTCAAAGGCCAAATCCCAAATTGAAGAAGCAATTAAGTTCTATTTAAAAAATAGACTTCTTGAGGTAGCAATATACTGGAGTTCTATTTAAAAAGAAGGGTGTCATCCATTAAAAATATTTAAAAGCAGCTATTATCTCTTCTTAGCATTCATCTGAAAATCAAGGGTCAGCAAATCCAATTTCCAGCCCACTGTGGAAATTTATTTTTAACACATCACTGCCTGATAGTAATCTATCCTTTCGTTGAGAGTTTACTATCCTAATGATTCAGTCCATTTCATTGCTGGATAGCTCTGATTATTGGGGATATTTTTCTTATATTAAGTAAAAATCTGTGTCCTCATAACATCTACTATCTGCTAAAATAAAATACCTGGTAGGCTTCTGCCTTTAGTCTGTTCTCCAGGCTATATACCTCTGGTTTCTTCAACAGGTTTATAAACATGGTTTTGAAACCTTTACTTGTCCCTCACTTTTATTCATTTACCTACTGTCTTAGTTCAGTATATATCCTGGCTGTTGGCAATCATGTTTGCCCCTTAATCAGACAATCTCTCACCTTTCCCTCCAGCACTGATACTGCAGTTCAGCACACATTATTGGATTCAAGGGCTCCCACTGCTTAGGCAAGAACAGGAGGTGAAAGCGTTCTACTCTTCATTCTGGAATGAGGGTCAGGAGAGGGTATGTATTTCTGATAACTGGGTTTGGAACTTAGAATGTATTTTCTCATCAAATATGGGATGAGTGACTGAAACAGTTCTATTAGATCAATGTTTTCGATACAATTTGGTTAAAATAGAATTTAGTTAATGCTGCCCTGGAAACTATCTTTTAATGGAAAAATGCATTCTCACTCCAAATAAACTTATAAAGGAGTTATTAGAGTATAGCTAATTGATACATAGGAATGTACTTGCATATTTGAAAAAAATTAGAAAATTATACCATGCAGCCATGTAAAATCAATGTTAAATATGTGGGTCTCATTCTATCAATGAAACAGTCCTTGTGTACAGTGAAATAATAAATAAAATGGGCAGAATTTAAACACAAAAGATACTTGGGAATTAAAAAAAAGGTTTTGCTTTATTTTGCTATCATAGAAAATACATTTAACCAACCAGAATTTACCCTGGAATTTAGGCCTGTTTCAAACACAAAAGAGTTTGTCCCTGCTTTGTGAAGAAATTACATGGTTCTAATATTCCACTGCTGAAAGAGCTTTGAAAAAATGCTCCAAATTTAATTCCATTGTATGTCAAATTTAAAAATATATGTTAAAAAGTGAGTTTCTGAATCCAAAGTTTTTAGTTTTTCAAAAAAGGATAGAAAAAAAAAACAATTATTTTTTTTCACTTTTGTACCTTTGAGTGGAACTCAAGTAACAGAAAAATGTTACCCTCAGTAGATCCAAATTATTCTTGCAGTTTGTTTCTACTCATTCTAGTTTCTAGTCACGTAGCGTAACAGTTGTTAAAAGCTCTTTTTTTTTTCTTTTTTGGTCTAGAAGAACTCTAATTTTTTTGTTGTTTGGCTGAGAAACCAATATTAGAAGTGGTGTAAGTATTGTATTTTTGAAGGTTAAACTTGAAGTTATTAGGAAATAAAGTTTATAATTGAATTCTTTATCCAGCCACCTACCTGCTAAACTACCAAAGGTAAGCTTTCTGCGGCCCACCTTCTCAACAAGCCAGACTCCCACAAGTGTGAAAATGAAATTTGTGAAGGCTGTAACTGAAGCCAGCCATATTGCAAGTCTATCATCTTCAACACCAGACATCTGCAGAATGGTTGCACTGTAGTACCTGCAAAGCAATGAATAAAACAATTGCTATTGATAGTTACCCAAAGAAACAGGGTTATTTTGATAGAAAAAGATGTATTCAATTTGAAAAAAATATAAGGAGAACTACAGTAATAACATCAAATTAACGTGGGAATTCATGCAAGCTGTTGAAAAGATCACAATATAAAGACTATGTTCAAATAAATTTATTTTGGAGTTTGTATAATCAAGAAAAGGCACCTGAGCAAGTAGATAAGGTTGAAAGCTTCCAAAGTGATGCACATCCCACAACTAGGGACAGTGGCAGCTGGTAGTTTCACTAAAACTGTATCACTTTAATTGGCCACATAATAAGGTTATGTTATATTAAGCTGCAAGTCCATGGAATGAATCAGAAGTCATCATTCACTGTGAATTAATGTCCTTAAAAGACTGCCATAAGAGAATGTAATATAGTGGTAAAAATCTGGGACAAGTGAAGGAACGCCTCAAAAAAGACACAATGAGTAAGACAGTGTCAGAATGTATCTAGCATTGTGTAAAAAGATGAGAAACTGACATGGGACCCATGAGAATCATTTATGTTTCCCGAAAAAGGGTACTCTGGTGAGCTAAGTCTCTAGCATGATTAAGCTCTGTAGACTCATTTCGTGCTAAGTGAACTCACTGGAGACTGGCTTTTAAAAGACCATAATGCCAGTTTGTTGATGCACAATGGAAGATATGTCTGGCACATTTAAGGATGACAAGTTTATCACAAGACATTTCTTTTCTGGTGGAAACATTAATAGCTAAACCAGCTGATTATTTTAAAGTTAACCTGAAAACAAAGAAAACAAAATACTGCTGGTGAGTCACTGATGAAATGTGATAGAATTCAAATCTTAAATACACATTCTGAACCATGGCTTTGCCCAGCTTTTCAAGCCATTCTAAAACAAGTTAGCTTTACTCACATCAGACAGTGGTCATCCAAGCAATATGTTAAATCAGGCTGAATATTTCCATAGTTAAAAATCTACAGTTTGTGAATATTTATCAATACCTTCATAATATTTCAAAAATCAAATCTGTTTTGAATACGTTTAAGTCTCATTGATTCATCAATGGCTTCTGTCTACTATTTTTTAAACTAATGATGATGGTTCTTATCTAAAATTTTAATACCAACATGGACTCATTCATCTTGAAAAAAAGTGTTTTCCTTTTTTAAATTAATAAACCAAACCTATAAATTAACTATGTAGCATGAAGGATGTGTTTTACTGATCACACTAAAAAGCTGCCAACCATTTTAAGACTGAATTCTGACAGCTGTTGCAAAAAGAGAAATTCCCAGTGGAATTACTCCCATCATCATGAAAACTGCGAATGTTTTGCAGTCAGAGTGTAAAGTGATGATAACAATTATGAAAACAATTCATTCCATTTGTGCAGTGTTTTATAGTTTCCAAGTTCTACCATATACATTTTCATAAAGACCTGTATGGCAATGTCAAACCTTACATGTAATCACTAAGAAATTAACATAAATACCAAATCTAAAAAGGCAGAAAACAGAAATATTGAAAGAAAATTCAAATATTTAAAGCCAAAAGAATTTGACATGTGTCATGCTACTAAGTTTCAGAATCTTCACAATAATTTAAGAATAAGAATAGTTATATTGTGCAAAATAATTCTTCCATATAGAGGCAGGGGAAAATTAAAACAGAAGCTATTTTGATGCTTTCATTTTCAATAAAATAAAACAATGAAATCACAAGTGTTAAATGAAGGGATAGAAAGGAGAGTAGTATAAAACAGAATAAGTTGTCTAAATTTTATTTAAAATGAAAAAAAGTTCCATAGCTATACAAAGTATTTTAGGTACTTAAGTTATAGAGTCAGAATGTAACCAAAAACTGACCTGGGATTCAGAAACCTGCATTCTAATAGCACCTCCGTGTCTTCTGTCCAGGTTAGGTAACATAATCACTTGTACACTGAATATTTATTTATTAAGTACCTAGTGTATAAGCTATGTGAATTACTAAGATCCCACAGATATGTTATTAAATCCTGTTGCTGCCCTCAAGAAGCTCATAGTTTAATTTAAAAGAATGAAATGGAAAGACAATATTTTAATATCACGACACATAAAAGCAACAGTGAGGCACAAAGGACAGAGCAAATAATTTATTTGCTGTAGAATATTTCTTGATTTTCCAGGGAATTAATGTTAGGGTTGTGCCTTGTCATAGAGGTTTGCCAGCAGGTCTGACGATCTGGGAGGGCACTGGAGGTCACTGAAATGACACATCTGAAGGACTAAAGTGCAAAATGGTATGCTGGGTTCACAGACATAAGTACTTCACCTTGATTGAACACAGAATGCATACAAATGAGGGGCCGGGCACGGTGGCTCACACCTGTAATCCCAGCACTTTGGGAGGCCAAGGCGGGTGGATCACCTGAGGACAGGAGTTCAAAACCAGCCTGGCCAACATGGTGAAACCCCATCTCTATTAAAAATACAAAAAATTAGCTGGGCATGGTAGCGGGCACCTGTAATCCTAGCTACTCAGGAGGCTAAGGCAGGAGAATTGCTTGAACCTGGGAGGCGAAGATTGCAGTGAGCCAAGATCACACCATTGCACTCCAGCCTGGGCAACAAAAGCAAAACTCCATCTCAAAAAAAAAAAAAAAAAAAGAATGCATACAAATGAGAAGTATGATGTAAGGCTATAGCAGAAGCTTCTGTTATGGAGGGGACTTGAATGTAATGCTCTATGTTTGGACTTTGTATTGTAGGCAATGGGAAATCACAAAGCGAAGTTTAAAGAGAAATAACAGGATTAAATCTGTTCTATGAAGACATTACTCTGGTGAGAGCCAAGTGGGTGAACTGGAGGCTGACTGAACTAAAGGTATATTGTTCTGAAGCCTATTTCAAATCATTATACTGGCAACAGGCAATTGCAGATTATCTGGATTAATGGAAAACAGTAAGGGGAGGAGCTGAAATTCACTGACAGCCTTGTATCTCCCTCTGAGCAAGAGCTGCGACTTCAGCCCACACTAAATTTTGTCCTGTACAGACTGCCTTGATTTTCATCTTCCTTTCTCTAACCCTGGTAAATATATTAGTTTGTGTTGCTGCCATGACAAATTACCACAAGGTTAGTGACTTTAAAACAAAACACATTTATTATCTCACAGCTCTGTAGGTCACGAATCTGACAAGTGTCTCACTTGGGGGTCAAAAATCACAGGTGTCAGTAGAGCTCTGTCCCTTCCTGGAAGCTCCAGGGAAAAATCATTTCCTTGTCTTTTGCAGCTTTTAGAGGTCTCCTAATTCCCTGGCTGGTGGCCCCCTTCCTCAGTCTTCAAAGCCAACAATGATTTGTCAAGTCCCTCTCATGCTACTTCACTATGACCTTTGCTTTGCCTCCCTTGTGACTATATTGGCTCCACTCAGAAAATCCAGAATAATCTCCCTAATTAAGGTAAACTGATTAGCACATTTAATTCAGTCTGCACCTTAATTTCCTTTTGCCATGTAATGCAACATATTCACAGGCTCTGGGAACTAGGATGTTTGTATGTCCTTGGGGGGACCATTATTCTGGCTATCACAGTAAACGTACTAATAAGCAGTAAAATAAGCAAAAGCCAACAGTTATAATGAGAAGGAAGGAATGAAAGACAAGGACATCTATTTAAAAGGTAATCAGTTCTAGAAAAATCAGGCATAACTACATTCTCTTTCACAGGGCAGGACATGATATATTTAGGTCAGAACTATTCACAAACTTAATTTTAAAAGTCAGGTCATGGTCTTATGGGGAGATACATTTAACTTACAATTACAAAGTACATTCCAATGTTTTCATAAATAATGATGTCAGCCAACCATTTAAGTAATGGGCTACCTACCACTGAGTTTACAATCTTCTAAACCTTTATGCAGTAGTTTGCATTTTCAAGGGACTGTATTCATTCAAAAGTTGCACAAAGGCATAAGGGAACCCTCTTATGCATAAAAGAACAATATGAACAACTGAAAAAGGCTTTCTTTCCTTTTTAGACTCAAAGCAGGCATACCTTCTCCTTTCAAAGTCATTTTATAATATCTATCAGACAAACTATCATCTTCTTCAAAGATTCCCTGGGCCAACTTTGGTCATCTCACACATACCATCTCTTCCCCAGAGTGAAGTTGAAAGGTTTGCAACTCTCTGTAGACATTTAAGAACAGCCAAGGCCGGAAATCTACGTGCATTGCTATCTTAGAGATTATGTGACACTCAGCTTCCAGTCCTGAATTTTAAATCTGACTCACACAAAACAGAAACATATAGGCTTTGGAAATGACAGTCTATCCTAATGCTGACTTTTAACTAGCAATAAAAGACTAAACATGAATACTTCATATGCTTAACAAAATACATCTACTAAGTTCCTATTTGAACAAAGCATTTCCTAGGAATTTCTGAAAAAGCTATCTTTTTCACTATTACTTGCATTATAGAATTAACAGTAAAATAATTGTCTGCTGGTTTATTGAATTTATCTACCGTAAATTTTTGAGAAGAAATTAAGAATAATTATATTAAAAAACACCTGATAGACTTACTAAATTAAAAATTAAAGACTGATAATAGAGAGGTAGAACATGAAGATAATTATATGAAAACCTTAGTGACATAGACACTATGAGTTAGCTCTAAAATTCCTGGCAGCCAAGGCAAAATAGTAAATATTTTAGAAAATTTTAACTGTTTGACAAAATAAAATGTATCAGCTCATAATACAGACAATTTTTTTCTGGCATGGGACTATAAAGACGTTAATTTCATAAATAAAAGGGATATGGAACATACTCTTCCTGACAAGAGCCAGTCTAAGTAGGACAAATTAACTGCTGACTTACTCAACAGTCTTATAGGCCATATTCATATTGTGATATAGGACAAGTTACATGAGAAAGTATGGAGTAGTTTATTGACTGTAAGACCTTAAAGATTTCCATTATCTAAGTTATGTTCTTTAGCTCTTTTAGTTCCTAGTGCTATAAATATATATATTTTTTGGTACCATATGCCAAAGTACATTGACTACAGAGAATTTAGAATGCCATTACATTAAAAGAGGTTCTTTTAACTAAAAATAATTATATTTTCCTATTGGGAGACTGTTTGTATACTCAAAAACAAGGATAACTCTATTAGTCTGCTCTTATGCTGCTATAAAGACACATCTAAGACTGGGTAATTTATAAATAAAAAGAGGTTGAATGGACTCAGAGTTCCACATGGCTAGGGAGGCCTCACAATCATGGTGGAAGGCAAAGGAGAGCAAAGGTATGTCTTACACGGTGGCAGGCAAGAAAGAATATGCAGGGGAACTACCCTTTACAAAACCATCAGATCTCAAAAGACTTACTCCTTATCACAAGAACAGAATTGGAACCCCCCCTCCATGATTCAATTACCTCCCATTGAGTCCTTCCCATGAAATGTGGGTATTACAGGAGCTACAATTCAAGAGGTGATTTGGGTGGGGACACAGCCAAACCGTATCAATAACTATCACAAGGGCATCCACTTAAATGTTAGTTCCAGAAAAATTTAGGCAATAACTATATTCTCTTTCATAGGGCAGAAGATGACATATTTAGATCAGAATAATCCACAAACCTAATTTTTAAAAGTCAGGTCATGGACTTGTGGAAAGATACACTGAACTTACATTTAAAAACATGTGAATTCCAATGTTTACAGAAATAATATCAGCCAACCATTTAAGTGATGGGTTACCACTATATTTACAATCTTCTAAACCTTTATGCAGTAGTTTGAATTTCTTCTCAAAAAATACATCATATTTTCCATCTGATATAATTTGGATATTCATCCCTGCCCAAATCTTATGTTGAAATGTAGTCCCCAGTGCTGAGGTAGGGCATGGTGGGAGACGTTTGGATCATGGAGGTGGATCCCTCAAGGTTTGGTGCTAAATCATGAGATTTGGTCATCTAAAAGTGTGAGGTACCTCCCCTGACCCACTCTCCTACTGCTTGCTCCTGCTTTTGCCATGTGATGTGTCTGCTTCTCCTTTGCCTTCTGCCATAATTGCAGGCTTCCTAAGGCCTCCCAAGAAGCTAAGCAGATGCCAGCACCACTCTTCCTCAAAAGCCTACATAGGAGTAAACCAATTATACCTCTTTTCTTCATAAATTACCAACTCTCAGGTATTTATTTATAGCAATGCAAGAACAGCCTAATACAGAAAGTTGATACCAGGGGTGAAGCATTGCTATAAAAATACCTGAAAATGTGGAAGTGACGTTGGCACTGTGTAATGGGCAGAGGTTGGAAGAATTTGGAGGGCTCAGAAGACAGGAAGATCAAGAAAAATTTGGAACTTTTAAGAGACCGACTAAATGGTTGTGACCAAAATGCTGATAGTGATATGGACGGTGAAGTCTAGACTGCTGAGGTCTCAGGTAGAAATGAGGAACTTATTGGGAACTGTAGCAAAGGTCATGTGTATTATGCCTTAGCAAAGAACTTGGCTGCTGTCTGTTCATGTGTCAGGGGTCTGTGAAAGCTTGAGCTTGAGATTGATTACTACAGTATCTAGTAGAAGAAACTTCTAAGCAACAAAGCATTCAAGAAGTCGCCTGTCTGCTTCTAACAGCTTATCCTCAGATGAGGGAGAAAAGGAATTACTTAAAGTTGCTGCTTATATTTATAAGGTAGGCAGAGCATAAAAATTTGGAAAATTTGCAGCCTGGCCATGTGGCAGAAAAAGAAAAAAGCTTTTTTGGGAGAGGAATTCAAGCATGCTGTGGAGCAACCATTTGCTAGAGAAATTTGCATAACTAAAAGGAAGCCAGGTGCTAATAGCCAAGACTATGGGAAAAAGTCTTGAAGGAATTTCAGAGAACTTCACAACAGGTCTTCCCATCACAGGCCCAGAGGCCTAGGAGTATAGAATGGTTTTGTAGGCCAGCCCAGAGCCTACTGCCCTGTGCAGCCTTGAGACACTGCTCCCCACATACTGGCCTCTCCAGCTCCAGCTGTGACTCAAAGGGGCCTGCCTAGGTATAGCTCAGGCCACAGCTCCAGAAGGTGCAAGGCATAAGCCTTGCTGTCTTCTACATGGTGTTAAGCCTATAGATATGCAGAATGCAAAAGTGAAGAATGCTTGGCAGCCTCTGCCAAGATTTTGGAGGATGCGTGAGAAAGCCTGGGTGCCCTGGCAGAAGCCTGCTGCAGGGGCAGAGCCCTCACAGAGAACCCCTACTAGGGAAGTACCAAGGGGAAATGTGGGGTTGAGCCCTCAGACAGAGTCCCCTATTGCCTAGTGGAGCTGTGAGAAATGGGCCACCATCCTCTAGACCCCAGAATGGTAGATCTACTGGCAGCTTGCACCCTGCGTCTGGAAAAGCCATAGGCATTCAACTTCAACTCATGGGATCAGCCCTGGGGACTGAACCCTGCAAAGCCACAAGGGTAAAGGTGCCCAAGGCCTTGGGAGCCCAGCCCTTGCATCAGTGTTCCCTGGATGTGGAACATGCAGTCAGAGGAGATTATTTTGAAGCTTTAATATTTAATTACAGCCCTGCTGGGTTTCAAACTTGCATGGGGCCTGTACCCCCTTTCTTCCTTTCTTTTGGCTGATTTCTCCCTTTTGGAATGAGAATATTTGTTTACCCAATGCCTATACCCCCAGTGTATCTTGGAAGTAACTAACTTGATTTTTATTTTACAGGCTCAAAAGTGGAAGGGATTTTCCTTGTCTCAGATGAGATCTTGAACTTTTGAGTTAAGCTGGAATGAGTTAAGACTTTGAGGGACCATTGGGAAGGCAAGATTGTATTTTGCAACGTGAGAAGGACATGAGATTTGGAAGGGGCCAGAGGTGGAATGATGTAGTTTGGATATTTGTCCCCATGCAAATCTCATGTTGAATTGTAATCCCAAGGCTGGATGTGAGGCCTGGTGGGTGTGTTTGGGTCATGGGGTGGATCCTTCATGGTTTGGTCCTGTCTTAATGATAGTGAGTTCATACAAGACACAGTCATTTAAAACTGTGTGGCACCTCACCCTGCACTCTCTCTCTCTCGCGCTTGCTCTTGCTTTTGCCATGTGACGTGACTGCTCCCCCTTTGCCTTCTTCCATGATTGTAAGATTCCCAAGGCCTCCCCAGAAGCTGGGCAGATGCCAGCACCATGCTTCCTGTAAAGTTTGTAGAACCATAAGCCAAGTAAATCTCTTTTCTTTGTAAATTACTCAGTCTTAAGTATTTATTTGTAGCAATGCAAGAATGGCCTAATCATCATCACATGGAAAATACATCAATAGCTTTAATAGAAAAATGTTTTACTCAAGATACAAACATCTTAAGAACTATTTTTAAAAAATTAATGAAATTTTCAAACATATTTTCATGTATTTGGTACACTGAGAAATCCTCTTTGTACATTATAACATGCAAGACATAAAGCCAAAATTAAAAGTTAGAAAAGTAGAAATCACAATTGCACATATTTCATACGAGGGATTTGAGCTAACATACTAGTCAATTGTATCATACTACCATTAAATCAAGCAATGATACAAAAATCATAGAAACCTGCAGAAAGTTTACTTATTAATCACATTTAATATATTAGAAAATAATTTTCATAATTTAAATAACTTTATTAGTCTTTTTGGAAGAACAAAGAAGAAAATGTGCCAATGGAACTTATAAGGGATTTCTACATATGCCAATGTTGCCAATGTGACCTACCCTCTGCCTCAGAAGTGAGTTCCCTCACTCTGGCTTCATACCTCTGGCGGCCTCAGGAAAGACCAATTACTTGTCTCACCTCGCTCAGCCACATCACTGACTTTCCTTTAAGCATCATGGAGAACAATGAAGTAAGCTCTCTCATCTGAACTCTAATTCACCAATTTGCCACATTGACCTATTAATTCGTTCTATAAAATACATGCCCACTGGACATTGAACATATGGGACTTCACATAGGCTCACATTTCCCATTTGTTGAATTGTATGTATAACAGGTTACATGTGATTGTTCCCAAACCTGTTTATGCCTGTCATTGTAATTATATAATTCAATCAAATGTTACATAAAGCAACAAAACATAAAATACTAAAAGAGAGTTGTTGCATTAAAAACAAAACTTCATGCTTTGGAAAAAGCCAATAAAGGTTGAGTTATTTTAAAAGTTGTGTGGGTAACACAACCATAAAAAATTAGGGATAAGAGAGAAGTAAAAGTCTAGAAAGATTTTGCCCTTGGGTTTCTTCATATGTGTCTTTCAGTTCTGGTTTACTTGAAAGCCTGGAATTCATAGATGACAATATGAGTGTGGTTTATGTTAAAAAAAAAACAATCTGGAAACTCAAACAGTGGATATGATGAATTATTGTACAACTAGAAATAAAATGTTTAAGGTATGTATGCATCATTTCCTCACGACTGTCTTTTTCAGTTTACTAAAAAAGTGCTGATTCTAATCTTGTCAGACAACACTTTTCACCTCGCCTCATCATGTCTCAATTATCTGCTTATTTCAGCAACAAGAAGGAGTCTAAGATTTTCAGATCACCTATTTATACCTGGCCATTTACCTCCACACTAACCTGGTAACATTCACTAATTTGACTCAATCTTCCTCTCATCTCAGCCGTCCCATACTCTTTTTCTGTGCCCTGTGAACTAAGTCTAGACGTGAGGCATAACCTTCTTACACCTTGGATCCAGAGGCTAGGCTGTTTTCTCTCATATTTTAGATACCTCTGGGCCTGAGGAGTGGGAGAGGATGAAAAGAGGGGCAAGAAATGACTGTACTATCCTCTAATTCTCACTTAGTTGTCTGTCTACTTTTTGGTCACTGTTCATTCAATAAAGATTTCAGTACTGGCCTCACAAGTTTCTTCTCCATTCTTACCCCTGTATCATGATTCTCGGTGACAGTGGCATCAACATGGACCATCCACACAACATCTGAGTCTCTTTTAACTGCTCTACCACCAAAATCCTTTAAGTATCTTCCTCTCTGGCCAGCACAGCCTACTCTCAAGGCTCACTTACTTGAATTCCCCACTGACATAATATGTCACTCTCATGTAGACTTTATTCCAGACACTGCTTCTTTTTTATTATCCATCATCACTCATTCCTGCCCCTTACCCACAATAATACTTACTATGTGAGTACTCTATATTTCCCAAACCAGAGGGTCTCAGATATTGGTGTGCTACAGGATCTCCTGGAAGACTTGTTCAAAAACACAAGACTATTAGGCCCTGTCCCCAGAATTTCTGATTCAGTAGGTCTAGGACCAAGAATTTGCCTTTCCAACAAATTTTCAGGTGATGCTGATCCTGCTTTGAAAATTACTTCCCCAAACCATTGCTACCATCACGTTCATCATTCTCAAATCCCCTAGCCTGTTAATCCTTTGTTATACTTATGTCATAAATTCCAACTCTACCTATATCCAGTTATTCTTCTACTCTGCATTTACATCTAGCAGCTGAAAGGGTCTCGAGAAAAACAAATTATCCTCACTTGAAATTTCCGAAGATGCACACTTTCCAACTCTCCAAAGGATGCTTTCATAGCATTTCCCTTCTTTCCACTATCCCAGTCTATGCAGCCTCAGGTGAAGTCTTGCCTATAATTCACCAAGAAAGCGTGAGCAATCAGATGGGTGCTCCCCTGCCTCATCACCACCAAATCTACCCACATACCCGACCAGTCTACATTGATTCACAAATCTCAATCAGCACTCAAACACCTGTCTTCTAAATTCCTTCTACATTTGCTGCTAGAATTATTACTCTTTCCTTCTACTTTTCCCCAGAAATTTATCTATACCTCTTTTAGTAACACACACCACTTTGTTTCTGGTACTAGAATTACTTAGATATACATCATATTTCTATTTCTATCATATTTCTATAAACTCCCAAAAGAATAGTCTATGTGTGTTTCACTCTTGCAACTACCAAAGCAGGTTTATGAATATTTTTTAGGCGCTTAGTGTTTATTTACATGAATGAATGGGTTCATATGGCTTTCCACCTCTTTTTTCCCTTATTTATTTTTACTCAGATATAATTCACATACCATAAAACTTTACACTTTTAAAGTATATAATTCAGTGTTAAGTATATATCATTAAATTTTAATCTCTTTAATAATTATAATAAGTAACGCTCATAAGAAAGCATTCAAACAATCCAAAGGATTAAAGAAATTTTTTTTAAAAAAGTCCCTGGAGTAGGATGTAAAGGAAAGGTAGAGTGTGTCTTAGTTTTTCTGAATACGCCTCACCACCATCACTCTCCTGATTCAGCTGCACTCCTTTCTACCTCACTGCCAGTTTGTGTTCCCAGGTGCCCTCATGGCTGGAGAAGAGTACATCAGAAAATGACTACATATGACTTGGGAGCTTTTGATCCAAACAATGATACAAACTAGTCTTTTCTTCCATCATTGATTGTCTCCAAAGTTCCAAGTTGTGTCCATCTAACACCTCATTAAACCAAACAGGACGGAAAAAGGTGACAGTTTATTTAAAATTTTTCTCAGGAGGCTTAAGAGCCTGAGTGTGAAAAAAGGGCAGGTCATGGCATTTACTTCCTGAAAAACACTGCTCTTGGCACTGACTCTCAAAACGGTATTAAGACTGTTTTATTTTAAGCTGTAATGGCCTTAAAGGTTCACTTGTAAGTAAAACTTTGCAAGAACTTTCATTCTATATAAAAGCAACATTTTAGAGCTTGGTCACAAAAATGTGATTATGCAAATATATGTAGTTTTATGCACATTATTTATAACTCTGAATCTCTACGGAATCACAAACTGGGAAAAGAGGTCAGGAACATGCAGGATGAAGTGAAAACAGCAAAACACGGAAGTATATTCACGTAGAATCTCATCTATTAAAAATAATCACAGAAAAATAAGGCAAATCCATCAAAACGTTTAGACAGACTATCTCCTGGTGGTGAGATTTTGATGCCTTTTCTTCTTTACACATTTCCAATTTCCTATAATAAGCATGTATTATTTAAAAGTTTTGTTTGAAGTGTTAACATTTTGTAGATTGGAAAATGTCATACATTGTATTCAGGCACCATAAGCCTCCAATTCTGTAAACTAAATCTGTATTTTTAGTGTATGTATGTATGTAGAGATGGGGTCTCACTATGTTGCTCAGGCTGGTCTCAAACTCCTGGCCTCAAGCCACCCTTCTGCCTCAACCTCCCAAATTTCTGAGATTACAGGCATGAGCCACTGGACCCAGCCAAACTAAATCTAACACTATTTTAAGTTAAACAGACGTGAAATTATAATCACAAGGAACTTACACATGTCTTCAGAAAATAAAAGACCCTTTAATTTTTTCCT